>NC_000013.11:70226287-70377802 GCF_000001405.40 Homo sapiens
ATATTTTTTATCAATTAGAAATTATATTTGATTTTATATTCTTGATAATTGTACTTTCATCATAGATAGATTTCTACCTTTTTGTCAATTAATGTCAAAAATCAGAAAATATATAAAATATTAAAAAAAAGTAGTCACTCAAAACTACATTAAAGATCAGCATTTTTTTCAAAATTTATTTATTTTTTAGATTTACCATCATTCTTTTTATTCTACATATCCTAGTGTAGTATAAGTCATAAAAGCACTGATAGGAAATATATTCTAATATGCAATCTTCTTTTCTTCAGTGTCAACAGTTGTGAAAAATTTTATTATTTAGCATTTTATCAGAAAAGTCAAATACATTCATAGCTATTTCTTCTGGTCATATTGCAGACAGAATAAAAGGCATGGATTTATCTCAAGTCTCTGGGAAAATAAATAAGTTAATCCTAATGTTAACACTAATACCTTAATGTTGTGGTTAACATACTGAAATAAATAAATTAAATGTCACTGACTGTGGTATTATATATTTATTCCAGATACAGAAATGCAATATTTACTTTTCTCTGTCTCCATTTACTCTGTGATATAGATGCCTGCATTTGTATACGATGGAAGTTGTTTTTTTCTTTTCTCCCATAAAGAGGTAGCATATTCCTAAAACAAGGTAAGATTCTACAATGATTCTGTCTTAATACTTCACAGACACACATAGTATCTGTTCAGGTTGCAGGGTTCATCTCCATGCTTGTGTAAATTCATGAATCAACCAATACATGGTTAAAAAAGAAAAAAAAAACTATCTCAGAGAGAGTACTACATGACTAGAATGTATTAGAAAGGAAGGTGGAGTTCTAGAGCATTTCTATTACAATCTGTGCAACATGAATATTCATTATATCATATATTTTACAAGCCATTGACTTTATAACTGTTGCAGCAATAATGAGATTATATAGGACTATTGCTACAATAGATGTTAAAAGATTTGGTGTTGGAAACTTTCACCTGTCATTTTGCATCTCGATTTAAATTACAGTAAGGATACTAGTAATTCACAGACGACCTTTGAGAACATTGTACTGTCACAATAATTTAAACTTGGCTGTGTGTATTCTTCACCTAATAAGGTTCTGTTTGTTCATAAGTGATTTCAAAGTAAGCTATGCATTATATTATTTCTTATTTTACAATTTATAATCCACTTATGTAGTATGGCTAAACTGGACACCCTGAGTGCAAAAGTAACTTAGATGGATGGAATTTCTCTTTCATAACATTTACAGTTTTGTGAGGAATATAAGTGAGTGAAAAAAATTAATTTAGTGCACTAAATTCTAGGTTGTGAGAATTACATGACTGATTGAAAGTTGTGACTACAGAAAATAGGGTGTTATAGAGTTGCTAAATATAACACACTGCCACTCATCCTTGGTGTCCTTGGCAGGCATTGTTAATTGATCACAGCATTATGCTAAAATCCCAGGCATGACCTTGTGACTTTCAGCACAACAATCCATATAGTTTCTGCCCATCAAAAGGAATTTGCTGTCAATTCAGTTAGGCTATTTACACTCTGGCTAAATATTTTTACCCCAAATCCAGAGTCTTTAAAAAGTATATATTCTTCCTTTTTTTTTTTTTTTTTTGGAGACAGGCTTTCACTCTGTCGCCCCAGCTGGAGTACAGTAGTACAATCTCAGCTCACTGCAACCTCTGCCTCCAGGGTTCAAGTGATTCTCCCACCTCAGCCTCCCTAGTAGTTGGGATTACAGGCACACACCACCACACCTGGCTCATTTTTGTATTTTCTGGTAGAGATGAGGCTTCACCGTGTTGCTCAGACTGGTCTCGAACTCCTGACCTCAAGTGATCTGCCCACCTCGGCCTCCCAGAGTGCTGGTATTACAGGCATGAGCCACCACACCTGGCCAAAAATCATATTTAAAAAAATAAAAAAAGTTCAGTTTTCCCCTTTGCCTTTCTGGTATATATTTTTGCCTATCTGCAATTTGATCCCAACTCAAAACCATACTATGTTTAATGTCCAGCTGTTACTCCTCCCTCAGTGTTAATTAATCTTCTTAAATTTATTTTTCTTCATGTATAAAATGGGGTTAAGAATAGTACCCACGCCATAGAGTCTTTGCGAGGAATAAATGAAATAAAATGTGGTTCATATAAGTGCATTCTATCAGAGGCATGTTTAAAAATATATAAATATGTTTAGCTTAAAATACGTACATTTGAATACATACAAAAATAATCATAGGCATATGTATATAAATGTGTTAGCATATACATACAATTTTACCTAGTTCTATTTTCTAGGAGGCCAAGAAGCAACAATACTGCAAAACTATTAAGCATACTCAGTGCCTAAACTTGGATTCTAAAGATAAGTTTCAACTAAAAAGAATAAGGGCAATTAGAGAAACAGTTGATTCTAGGCACTGAGAAAACAAATACAAAATAAGGGTGGATCTCTTGTAGTGTCAGAAAGTAGGAAAGTAATGGCCAAAGCTAAAGCAATTCCAGCAATAAAGAACATAGTACTGGATTATAACCCACCATCATGAGTTCAATGAACATGAATCCATATTGATATAATAAATAGTGGAAAAAAAGAAATCTTTCTTTTAAACGGATGTCAAATAATTTACATAGATATTCCCCCTCCTCCCCATGAAGTGAAACTTAATCTTCTCCATTCCATCTTGTGGGTGAGCTGGATTTAGTGAATCACTCACAAAGAACAGAATATAGAATGTGAAAAATAGTAAATTCACAGTGGAGAAATAGGGCTAAACCTACCTTAACCAAATGATCAAAGATAATTTCACCATTGTTTTCATGTGGCTATCATATATACACCCTGCTATAGTTTGGGCATTTGTCTCCCCAAACCTCATGTTGCTATTTGATCCCAATGTAGGAGGTGGAGGCCTAATAGGAGGTGTTCGGGTTATGGCAATGTATCCCTCATGAATAAATGCCCTGGCTGGTGGGTGTGGGGGTGAGTGACTTATTCTGTTATTTTCTGGTATAGCTGGTTGTTAAAAAGAGCCTGGCACCTCCTCACTTTCTCTCTTCCTTCCTTTTTCAACATGTGATCTCTGCACATGCTGGCTTCCCTTACCTTTCCACCATGAGTGGAAGCAGCTTGAGGCCCTCACCAAAAGCAGATGCCGGCACCATGCTTCTTGTAGAGCCTGCAGAACTATGATCTTTATAAATCACGCAGCCTCAGGTGTTCCTTTAGAGCAGTACAAATGGATTTAAACACATAGTAATATGATGTGAAGAGAAGAGCACTTAACTACTGTTATATTCAACCCTAAATCCATAACAACAGCCTACTGGGGGAAAAAATCAACTAAAATGAAATTTAGAGATCTGCAAAATCTGCCCACTATACCTCAAAACCGTAAATTTCACAGGAAAGAAAGGAATGACTGAGTAACTGTCAGATATCATAGGAGGTTAAAAACATAAGAGCTCAATGCAACATGATACCATGGATTGGATTATGAAACAGAAAAAAAATATATTAATGAGAAATGAGAAATACAAATAAGATCAATGTTTCAAAAGTTGGTTTCCTAGTTTTAAAATATATTCCATAGTAATGTAAGCTGCTAATGGAGAAAACTGGGTGAGTGGTGTATGAAACCTCTGGTATTATATTTGTAAATTAACTATAATACAAAAATTATTTTAAAATAAAAAGTTTGTTAGAAAACAGACACACAAGCCAGAGAAAAATAAATACATGTTTTCTAATTCTATTTACATAAAATTTTAGAAAATGCAAACTAACCTAAGGTGATAGAAAGTAGATCGTGGTTAACCAGGGTCAGGGGTGGAGGGAGGAATGGACTGCAAAGTGGCACAAGAAATCTTTCCTGAGTTTTGGATTATACCTTGATTGTGAAGGTAGGTGATGGTGTATAAAACTTTCCAGACCCATTGCATCTACACTTTAAGAGAATGGAGAATACTATATATAAATAATACCTTAGCACATTTAAAATTTAAAAACATAGCTATTTCTGTTTTTTCAAATTGTTTCATAGTAGCAAATATTTAATAACAAATCACTTTAAAGAAAACTCTCTTTTACAGATTATACATGGTTTACCCATTATTCAAAAAATATAAACAATAAAAAACTATAAAATAGATAATATAATCATTTTAAAACTGAGGACACAATATCAAAGTATATACAATGTCAAAGAATAAATTTTGGAAAATTATGGCTGGGATTAAACTTGAGCAGTTCAGATGCAAACTGAACTTTTAACTCCTATGTATGTTGTCTCTTAAATTTTAAGTGAAATTGTACTTCTAAATAAAGCCTATGTGTGTTTATATGTGTGTGGATGTGTCCATTGTACTAATTAATGTCATCTATATAGAAGACTCATCAGTCATAAATATTATAACCTTATTTTTTGCTAGCCATACAGACTAACACAGTATACAACATATTGAATAAATATTTTGTTGGACATTTCTTTAGTATATTTATTGGTTATCACAAATTGTTTATATAATTCTTACCATTTTTATTGAGTTGTTCATGCTTTTCTTATTTATTAGATCGTTTTGTTTTGTTTTGTTTTGTTTTGAGACAGAGTTTTGCTCTTGTTGTCCAGGCTGGAGTGCAATGGCATGATCTCGGCTCACCACAACCTCCGCCTCCAAGGTTTAAGTGATTCTCCTGCCTCAGCCTCCCTAGTAGCTGGGATTACAGGCATGTGCCACTGCGCCCAGCTAATTTTGTATTTTTAGTAGAGCCAGGGTTTCTCCATGTTGGTCAGGCTGGTCTCGAACTCCCGACTTCAGGTGATCCTCCCACCTCGGCCTCCCAAAGTGCTGGGATTACAGGGGTGAGCCACCGCACCCAGTCTATTAGATCTCTTATGTTGAAGGTATAAAATTTTTGTCTCCTGCATCATTGCAAATACTTTTCTACTTTACTATTTATCTTCCAAGTCTACTTACAGCTTTTGTTTCTGGTAATAAATAAATATCTGCCTTCTCTCTACTTCTGCTTATCAGATTTCTACCTGATATTTAAGCCTCAATTCAAAATTTAATTGCCTATGAAGTTTTTTAGTCCCCTTAGCAAAATGTATTCTCATTCTACATTGCAATTCTACAATTTATTACGTCTTATGCTATTATTTTTTAAGATCCTTTATATGCTTTGGAAAGAATTCAGTTTTCCTCAAATTCCTTCAAAACAGGGACCTTCAGTTAATATTTTTCTGTATACAGCTTTCAAGATGCTGTAAAGTAGTTAGTAATCAAACTGTATTATATCAACTCAATAACAAAGTAAAAATATTAAGTAACATGAGGTGTAATTTACCAAAAATCATTATTATTGCATTATTCAAAATAAATTGAATCAATTAACACTGAGATGAACAAATGAAGAGAATTATTTTTAATGTCAGAAAAAAATAGAAAAAAATTTACAGAGACTGGGACAGTGAAAAAAGAGAACAAACTGTTTAGCCAGGAACATCCCTCAAAATAAAGACTCAAAATAAAGACTCATCAAGAAAGAGTCCTTAAATCCAAATGATATCAACCAGTAGACAATTTTCCCCAACACAGGAAAGGTAATGCAGTTTCTAAAACTAACAGTGTTATTAAACACAATATCTTTGTATGTTTTATGGAACTGACACATTAACTCTTTGCATAAAATATAAATTTGGGGAATGTCCATTAATGGATAAATACAAATAAATACTTGTTTGCCTACCAGGAAAGACAATCTGGTAAAATCACAAATGTATGGCAAATATAAACTAAACATTGAAATGAGAAAATATGTAGGATGATCATGTGGAAGTTATTTTCTAATAGTATACTTTTCTTGGACTCTTCACTCTGAAAATTATATCAGATGTTCATGGTGACAACACTGGTCTTAATGTTTACTTTTTTTTTCTATTGAAGAGATTGTAATCATATAACAAAACATATAAGCAAATAAAATTAAATGTTTAAGTGATTGCTCAATATATGCTAAAAGACGATTTATTGTCGTATATGTCTTAGTATAATTAGCTCCAGGAGTTCAGAGAAGAGATCACTTTAGGCTTTGGATTCTAGAGGCAGAGGTGCTGAGATGGCTACTACGTTGAGGAGAGGGCCAATGGTTAATGACTGAGCAACATCATTTGTACAAAGTAATGTGAGGGGAGAGTTCCCTGGCCCCCAACACAGGATGGATGTGCAACAGGGGTGTGGCTCTCTGTTCAGCTGCTGTGAGCTCAAACCCCTTACTGGAGGGGGAGTACACAGATGGTCAGGTGCAGGAGTCAAGGTGAGCATTTTGGGCTCTGGCCCCATGGTAGTGTCTAGGGGTGTGTGTCTGAAACTCACGAAGCCCAAGTGGGTTCAATGCAATCTTTCAGTTTTGCAGTCCATAGATGGGTTAAGTGTTAACCAGCTTAGTGTCCTCGCGGTACCCAGGTCCTTAACCGGCATCCAGGAAGAATCAGGTCATACATGGACTTGAAGGGTAAATGTGAGGGATTTATTGAGTGGTGGAGGTGGCTCTCGGTGGGATGGATGGGGAGTTGGAAGGGGGATAGAGTGGGAAGATGATCTTCCCCTGGAGTTTGGCCATGGAACAGCCAATCTCCTCTCCAATCATCCCCAGCCGAACTCCTCTTGGTGTTCAGACGCTCCTTCTCCTATTCTCTGTTGTGCCATTCTGCCATTCATCTGCTCTTCTTCCTCTGGAGCCTGGGGTTCAGGGTTTATATGGGTACAGGATAGAGGTATGATGGGCCAAAAGGCAACTTTTTGGGCACGAAAACAGGAATGTCTGTTCTCATTTAGGGCTGTAGGTTTCCAGGCTAAAGGATGGGGCCTCTGCCAGGAAACCAAACTCTTCTACCCAGTATTTTCCATTGCCTGTCCATATCCGTAACAGAATGTAGAAAGTTAATGGATATAAGAATATATTTCTTCGAATATAGAAAATTATTTAAATAAGGTAACTGTGGAAAATTATACTGAAAAAAAGTTATTCCTCCTTCTCTTCCTATTACCAGTACTATTACATCTGTGTTTTTGCTTTAAAATATATAACATGCTTTTGTGAATATAAAATTATTTGAAACTTGCAAAAATATGTAAGAACGCTTAATAATATTTATTGTAGGAAAAATTGCATGAGTGAATTTAAATAAATTGGGCCAAACATATAATTTATAAAATTTTAGATAGTACTCATCTTTAAGTCATCAATCTCACTGTTTCTATCAACCAGAAAACCAGATGCAGTTCAGGTTTGAAAAGGAGTTTAACACCAGATTTAGTCATGTATATTTCATTCCATGGGAAGTTAGAAGCCATTGTTTTAGAGCTATTAGTCTGTGTTGTATGAAAGTATCTGGAGAGACACTGGAAGTATAGACACAAAAAGCATTATATCTGCACTCCCATGTTCATTGCCACATTAATAACCACCAAGATATGGAAACAACCTAAATTTCTATCAAAGATGAATGGATAAAAAAGTGATGAATATATGCCATGGAATATCATTCAGCCTTAAAAAGAAAATTCTGCTATTTGCCACAATATTAATAAATATGAAGAACATTATGTTAAGTGAAATAAGGCAGATACAGAAAGACGAATATGATATGATCCCACTTATATGTGAAATCTAAAGTAGGCTGACTCATAGAAGTAGAGAGAATATGGTTGCCAAGGTGAGTGAAGGGGGACATGAGAGATTTTGATCAAAGGGTACAAGAGTTTTAGTTACATACATTCTGGAAATGTAATGTACAGCATGGTGACTATAGTAAAAATATTCTATGAAATTTGCTATGAGGGTAGATATTCAGTGTTCCTTGAAAGACAAAAGAAAGAAAGAGAGAGAGAGACAGAGAAAGAGAGAGAAAGAAAGACAAGAAAGAAAAGAAAGAAAGAAAGAAAGAAAAAGAAAGAAAGAAAAGAAAGAAAAAGAAAGAGGGAGGCAAGAAGGAAGGAAAAAATAAATCCTATGTGAGGTGATGGATAAGTTAATTAGTTTGATTATGGTGATCATCTCACTATCTATACATATATCAAAATATCATATTTTACACCTTAAATATATACCAATCCTGTTTGTCCTTGTAATTCCATAAAGCCAAATGGGGAAAGGATGTTCTAGATAGGAGTAGTTGGGAAGAAATAAAAAGGAAAGTTGTCAGAATGTTTGATGCGAGTAATGACTGGGAAATAATTTTTGATTGAAAGAGAGGATCAAAAGTGATATAAAACTTTTGTCATGGATACATGTCTCCATTATGACATGGAGAATTGTAATTAACAGAAATGGATCTGTCAAGAAAAGAAAAGGACTTACAAACCGCAGACATATTTTTAGACGTTTGCATGAGATCTGCAGATGGTTCCTGGTAAGCACAATTATTTCCTATAGGGCATAGTAGTGCACTTTGGGGATGAGTCCAGAGATGGAAGAAAACAGTTGAAAATATCCTAGTAGACCATTATGAACCTAAATTTAGAAAGTTAATTATAGTTGACAAAGTAGTAGCAGCTGTAGGAAGAGTTAAGGTGAAAAAAATTAAAGTAGAATAGATAGAAAAAAGTGCATTGACAACATACCGAAGCAAGATTTCAAACACAGGGTTTCCTTGTGAGCACCTTGGTACTGGGTCTTAAAAGATGGACCACATGCTGTGCCCCAAAGGACATTGTCACTAACTGTGCTTCTTTACTCACCTTTACATGTAATATCCTTTAATTTCATCTACCTTTGTGGGAGTTGTTTTGTTTTCACAAAACAAGCCTGAACTCTCAGGCAGACAAATCTAGTCTTTCTAAGCATTTATGTATTATTTTGTATCTTATGATTAGCCATTATTTGTTGGTCAAGAATATTTAGAATTGAGTATACATATGAGCAGATTTTTCAAATATTAAAAATTATCTGAATGTACTTTTTCAAGTAGTTTTTTTAAAATATCAAACCTATTTAAGAAGGAATTGTTGCCTGTAATCCCAGCACTTTGGGAGGCCAAGGTGGGTGGATCACGAGGTCAGGAGTTCGAGACCAGCCTGGTCAAGATGGTGAAACCAAGTCTCTACTAAAAATACAAAAATTAGCCAGGCGCAGTGGTGGGCGCCTGTAACCCCTGCTACTCAGGAGACTGAGGCAGGAGAATCGTTTGAACCCAGGAGGTAGCAGTGAGCCAATATCACGCCACTGCTCTCTAGCCTGGGCGACAAGAGCAACACACCATCTCAAAAAAAAAAAAAAAAAAAAAGGAATTGTTTCCATAGCATACATTAGATTTTTCTGCTTTCTTCAGCAGAAAATAGTGAACACACATGAAATGTTTATCGAAGACTCAATGTTATCAACATATTATTGACCTGACAAACATAGTAAGCTGTAACTCCTACCTTCTTTCATCAGTGTCACCCTGTCAATGATAAACTGTCACTTTCTTGGCTACCAGTGGCCCTGGCTCTAAATTCCCTACCATATTCTAATTTATTATTTTTTCTCCTCTAAGAAAATAGGCAGGGAATAATGATAAAAAACATTCATTAAATTATTAACAATACTTACCAGAATAAAGGAGTTAGGAGTAAGTTACAGTAGCCTATTATAATACGCAATTTTCTTTTATTTTCGAAGGAGAAAAAAATTACTGTGCAAAGAAAAAGTGTCTGTCAACAAGAGAGATACAGTTTAAAATTAAAATATTTTCAACATTTGAGTATAAAAATGTTTAGGCTAAAAAGCATTAAATAGTGAAAATGAAGTAATCCATGTTTTTATGTGTTTTATCTTGCTCCTAGTGTTCATTACACTGTAAATATGGAGATAGACATAGAAATAATTTACTTTAAATTTCACTTTGAACCAAATAATTAATCCTTAATATACTTATCCTTAATAAATTTTTGCTGTTTTTAAAAGGCGTGTATTTATTTAGAGTATTATTAACTAGAATCAGAAGACGTGCTAACATTTGTTTTAATTAGCTAAGCTATAACAACGTAAGCTATTTTTTAAAAAAATCATGACACCACTCTTCATCTGGTGGCCTTTCATTAGGGATACAAGCAAGAGAGACAATGTCAAATAGCCTCTTGATCCCTAATATTATAAACCCACATCTACTAATAGGCGGCATAACAACCACCACAACAAAAGATATAGGCATCATTAATGAATCTGAATATATCTTTAAACATAATGAATAAGCATTGGGATTCAATTATACATAAAAAATGCACCTAGTATTTGAAAAATACTTTTTTACAATACTGTGTATGAAATATGCATTAAGCATAGTTCCTCATACAAAATAGGAGAGATGATTAAAGACATAGCTTACTAAAATGTGACATGAAGATGATATGTGCTAAAAGAGAAGTTCTGTACAAATAAAGTATCATAAGAGTGTGAAGAGTGATTGAGACAGTGCTCTACTAGGACAGCGGTTCTCAACCAGGAGAAATTTTGCAGACAAAAGACAAACACCCTCCCCCTTACACACACACACACACACACACACACACACACACACAATGAACATTTCAAAATGTCTATAGACATTTGAGGTTTTCATAACTAGGGGGGCTGTGGCATACAGGAAGTAGAAGACAGGGATGCCGTTAAACGTCTTACAATTCACAAGACAGCCCTTACAACAAGAAATTATTTGGGCCAAAAACTAAGTAGTTCTAAGCTTGATAACCCCTGTGGGAATTATGAAAAACTTCCTGAAAGAGGTCACATTTGAGTTTACCATAGAGAAGCACAGTAGTGCTCCCTTATCCAACGTTGCACTTTTCACAGTTTCAGTTACTCATGGTCAACTATGGTGGGAAAATATTAAGTAAAAATTTCTAGAAATAAACAATTTATATGTTTTTAATTTTGTGCAGTTCTGAGTAGTGTGATGAATTCTTGAACCAAGCCACTCCATCTAGCCTGGGATATTAATTATCTCTTTGTCCAATACATCCACTCATGAGTCACTTAGTAGCCATTTCAATTATCAGATCTCTGGCTGTGGTATGCAGTGCTTATGGTGAAGTAACCTTTATTTTTACTTACTGATTCTATTTTATTATTACTTATTGTTGTTGATCTCTTACTCTAATTTATACATTAAACTTTATCATATGTAGCTATGTGTAGAAAAACTATATAGTATATGTAGGATCTGACACTCTTTATGGGTTCAGGTTGGAAAGTATCACTCATGGATAAGAGGGGATTATGCTTCCAGGATTTCAAAAGGCAGACTTGGGGTAAAAATATAATAAATTTATTATATTTATTGAACAGATCCCCACCAAAAATGAAAAAATTCATTATTTTTATAGTAAAAGTCATGCTTAAGGAATGGTTAGCAGCTGGAATGTATAGTACATTCCAGGTATACAGGTAGAGAAGAGAGAGAGTTGAAAAATTAAGTGGAGGGGCAGCGGATGACATGCTATGTATATTTATAAAACAGGGAAAGTGCATTTATGTATAACACAATGTGTTGCATTTTATAAAAATTTGTATTATTCTATAATTTTGTTTTGCAATGAGTTCTTCAGATTATTATTTTGTTTTGTTTCACTTTGCTTGGATTTCCATGCTAATTACCAGCTTTTTATCTAATGGTTGAATTATATTCTATCTTATTAATGTAACAGGATGTACAGAACTGGTGCATAACCAATGGAAATTTATACTGCTTTATCATATTTTTTATTACAGAAAATGCTGCAATTAACACATCTGCACTTACTTGCTAATGTTTTCCAACTAAATTTTCTAAGAAATGCTTGAGTAACAGGAATAATTTTATGTAGAATCCTTTAGACACAGATTTTTGCAAAAGCTGAAACAGATTGTAGAGACAGTAAACAGAAAAGAGGCAGTGGGGATGCAAATAAGTATACATAGTCATATATTATCTAGCTGTAATGATACAGACCGGAGGCAGGGAACTACTGGGTAGAAGAGGGCAGTTCCTGAGCAAAAACCCCACCCTCAAGCCGGAAACTTGCAACCCTAAATGGGAACAGGCATTCCTGTTTTTCCACCCAAATGTTGACTTTTCCCACACTACACCCCCCTATCCTGTACCCATATAAACCCCAAACTCCAGGCTTTACAAATGGAAGAGCAGAAGAGCAGCAGAGCAGCGTGGCATAGAAGGAGAGAAGAAAGGAGTATCTGGACATTGAGAGGAATTCAGCTGAGGATGGTTGGAGAGGAAGTCAGCTGTGGGATGGCTGAACTCCAGAGGAGGAAGTCTTCCCACTCCATCCCCTTTCCAGCTCCTCATCCATCCCACTGAGAGCCACCTCCACACACAAGAAAATCCCTGAATTTACCTTGTGTCAAGTTCGAGTGACCTGATTCTTCCTGTATGCCAGACAAGGACTCAGGTACCAAGAGGGTAGGGTGTAAAAAGCTGTCACCCTGACTCTCCATTGAGCTGGTTTAACACTTAGCCATCTACGGATAGCAACTGCTAAAAGAGCATTAATTGTAACACACCCTTAGATGCTACCATGGGGTCAAAGCCCAAAAGTGCTCACCCCAGCTCCTGCACCTGCCTGTCTGCAGGCCCCCCTCTCATAAGGGGTTTGAGCCTATGGCAGCTAAACAAACACACCACACCCCTGTTGCAAGTCCTATGACAGGATCAGGGAACTCCCTTCTTTCAGTAATATCTAGTGGTAATATATTTTACCATCATTGTAGCAAATATAGGTAACAATGGATTTATTCTTGGTTTTAAATAACTCTCTGGAATAATGATAGTTTCCATCTTTGTCATTGAAATGTTTTGACAATTAATGCATTCCTATTTTCTGATAAATTTTCAACCTTGTTCTCACATTGGTGAGACCCTCTGCTTTTGCTGTGGAATATACTGAAGTTACAAAGTCATTAGTGCTGTATGAGTGATCGCCATGCTAATTCTACCAATTTTCTCTGTTTATAAATATTTTTCTACCTACTGTCATTGAAACTATGTAGAACATGAACTCTATCTTCGGAGATAAAAATATTTTTTACTTGAATTGAAAATCATTTTATTGAGACCCACTTGAAGAAATCTATATTCTCACAAGATAGAACAAATATCTATTGAAAAGAAAAATGTCAATGAGAATACTAATGCTTATTTTCAGCTATTAAAATATTAATATATAATTTTTGAGAAAAAGTAATATGTAGATTTCCAATTTTCTCTTACACTTGTAATTGTGATTGGAAATATTATATATTTATTTACATAGCTTGTGGATCTAAGATCATGGTTCTGAAACTCAATATGCAGGAATGACTTGGGCATACGTGAACATATTCATTTAATGCAAAAATTATTATTGCCCACCTTGCTTTGCAGTCACTATGGATACAATTATGAGGGGCAACAAACTCTAATTGTCCTTGACTCAGGTAACAAAGACTCCCAGAGAAGCTCTACCTAGCCTGTTTAGGATGGGCCAGTGCTCTTTTTTTTTTTTTTTTTTTTTTTTGCGTGATTTAACTTCACCTCTACGCCCACCCCACTGATGGAAGAGGATTTCGGGTATCAGAAAAATCTGAGATTAAAGTGTGTTTACAACTTTCTATCTCTGTTTCTTGGATGATACTTAAACTTTATAGAATTCAATTTCTCCATCTGTGAAATGCATTTAGTAATAATTACATTGCCGGGAGAGGTGGTTCATGCCTGTAATCCCAGCACTTTGGGAGGCCGAGGCGGGTGAATCACAAGGTCAGGAGTGATCAATATGGTGAAACTAAAAATACAAAAATTAGCTGGGCGTGGTGGCGCACCTGTAGTCCCAGCTGCAGGTGCATATTTTTACAGGTGGCGCACCTGTAGTCCCAGCTGCAGGTGCATATAATTACATCATAGGAATTTGATAAAGGTTTCAAGAGACAGTATAAACAAAGCAGTTGGAAAACACTAAATATTAGCTATTATTATAATTGCTAACGCCTAATGAATGCATACACTTGAATTATATTAATGATTAAGACATATTTTGTGAGAAAACTGGGATCTAGTCTTTATAATTATTTTCTTAGTAGTAAAATGTTTTTCACTCTGATTTATTACTTTAAAAATATATACGCATCCTACTACTTGTTCATACATTAGGAATCCCAATTTCCTTTATCCTCTATGGGAGTTCTTGTCTGTATTTTACAAAGTAATAACCAATAATGTTTTTGCTCTAGCATATATTCAACATGTAGCAACGAATTGGTTCTGAAGTATGTATAATATCTTGTTATGACCTCTTCGTGATAAGAGGAACAGAAGTTTTAAGACAATGGCTAGCAATAAAATATAGTCTGAAATTTCAGAAGAGAGGATTCCCTGAATGCAGACCTCCCTTTCTAACGTGGGATACAAGCTTACACCATAGACATCGTATTACTGTTTTATGTTCAAAGTGCAGAAAACTAGGCAGATTAATTTAAGCATTGAGTAAATATATAATGAATTAGAATGGTAGCTACTATGTAATAAAACAATTAAACCCTGTTAGTAATGTATATAATTGTCTACATGGATTTCTAAGTTTTTTATTTTTTTTCAATAAATAACAAATTCATACATTTCTCAAGCAGTGTATTGCCATTTATTACCTTCAAAATAGCTAGGAAGAAAATGATTGTTGTCATTAGGAGGTTGATATTCAAGTAATATTTAAAGGATAAACAAAATCATCAATATACGTGATTCATTTCGGTACACTAACACCTGTAAATGAAACCTAAGTAATAAAACAAATTAAACCATTATTCTTAGAGGGAAAAACTTTTCTCACATTTACAAACTACAGATTTATTGATGTGATCACTGTAAAGTGAATACACACACACACACCTATCTATCTTCAGAAATAGAGTGTAATGTAAATTTAGATAACTGGAATAGAGGCAATAGAAACTCAGACACATCCTTCAATTAGCTCACACGTTTTTAACACAGGCTCGTCTATAACACGTGGTTTGCGAGTCTTGCTTGTTTTTCTCTGCCTTTCTCAGTACCCACTCTCTCATTGACTTAGGTAAAAAAGATGTCACTGTCTAATTAAGTTACTTTCCTTATGACTTCTTGGTTTCCTCTATCAAGGAGAAAAAAAGATAAATCTACAGGGGGCCTTTGTGAAGCTCTTTAGTGTTATAACATCAATTTCCCCTCCCTTCCCAGTGTCTCAGGGATGCATTAATGATTCATTTAGCAGATAAATGCATGCTCTTTACTAACCCCATCACCTCCTGGAGATTCTTCATTGTTAGTCTTACTAACAACTTCTGAGAGCAAATTTTTCAAATCTATTTCTACTAAATATTCCTTGATATAATGAAATGTTTACTAAAAGGCAAATGATCTAGGTTTCTTGAGGGCATATACAGTGTGCTATGGATAATCCCCTCCAGTCTCACCCCCATTCTCAACCTCATTACATGGGCCACAGAATTCTTGAGAAATTCTCTCTACGCTAGACCACTTTCTTCTCTTTGACACATGGACAACAGCAAGAGCACTGTTAGTTTTAGCCACTTTCTTTGTATGTACCATCTGGCATTTACCCTGCACAACACATAGCCAAGTTTAGAGACGTGTCTTCCCTGCCCACCTTTGACTCCCACAAGTAAAATGATTTAGCATTTTTGAAGGTGCATGATGACACAGTCCATAATTAAGAAAGATATGCTTGGTAAAGAAGTGTAAAAATTATCCTTCATGTAATTTTTTCCTCTTTTTATATAGTCATTGACATTTATTAAAATGGATCTCTGTTATCATTCTTGAAGATTCACATTTCTTCACCCGCCACCAAGGGATTAAAATCGTTAAGAAGAAACTGTAGAAACAGATTAAACTTATGACATTGATGACTAGTCACGATATCCCCCAAAAGGGTACACTCTATTAATATTATGGTATTTTAGCATATTTCTCAAAGTTAAAGCTGAGATATTGATTTTAATTAACAAATATTTCTTGAAAATATCTTTTGTTTCTTTTTTCTTTCTCTGTCTGTTACTATGACAAATTCCTAAGAATGCTACTACATGAAATTTTACTGAGTAGACTAGAGGGAAAATTTTAGAACAGTAGTGTTAATAACTAGGATGCACCTTTGGAAGTGAATCAGGATTTTATGAATATAGATAATCTTTCCTAGAGTTTTGCAGCCTACTTTCTTGGATGTTTCATAAAGAGTGACAGATTGTAGTCTTAAGATATTTCTTTTTGTGGTTTTTTTTTTCCTTTTTAAAATTTTCTCACCAGGATAGCCTTTGAAATAAAGTGGAATTAACACTGGCGGGTAGTGCCAAAGCCTTTCACTCAGGGTTGTTGTGGTTCAGAAGCTTTTTCCTTCCTCAAGACATGTACTGTATTCTATTCAAAGATAACAGCTGAAGGGTCACACAGTGACATGAACACTTTAAAGACCTCATTCCGGCATGCCAGATGTGAACTTTGGGATGGTTTAAAATAGCAACTTGTAAAACAAGAAACAACAACAAAAAAATCCAAAATACTACTCCTTTGGCCTACTGAGTTTTACAGATTGGGAATGAACGCCTGAGTTTCTGAGCTCTTGTTCTAACTACTAACTAAAGCCAATATATAACATTTTCAGCTTTATTTTTCCCATCTGTCACAATGGGATAATTTTTACTCTCAGCAATATGATGAAATCTCTAAATAGTGGCAATATGGGAAATATTAGTGAAGGAGAGAAAAGTGCCATTCCTCACATTTAAGTTGCTGTGGCAAGAGCTAATTATGGAGTAGGGAAGTGTTAAAATATTTAGAATTCAGGTCTAGTTGAAGGTAGAAATTAATAGAAATAAGGAGAAAAGAAACTGCCTATGTTTACATTACTACAGATAGTATTGTCTATTGCAGGGAGATAGTGGCTGCATACTACACTGGTTTTGCGCTGTGTTTTCTTTTGGTGACTCTAGCACTGGGAGAGCACTATGGAATAGACCTTGAAATGTCACTAGCATTAACACAAAGAACAATGTTTCCTGAAGTTAGACACACATATTCTTTTGTGTTATTGTCTTCCTCTTCCATTGAATACTTGCTTACCACATACAGCCAAAATGAATACAAAGAATAGTCAAGGATCCCATTCAAACCATAAAAGCAGAGTTTTAATGATAAATAAGGGTCTCTTGGAAATGACCTGCTGTTTTATAAAGTTGAAAGGTGAAGTCTTCACCTTTCAACTTTATAAAGATCTTGCTAGATATAAGCAGTCATTGTAAGAGATAAAGAGCAAAGCAATGTCTGAGATAAAATTAATAAAGCCAATATTTTAAAGTTTGCTGACTGGTAAAAGAGGCAAGTAATCTTCCTCAGACACTCAAACAAGTTCTTTTTGTAGCATGCAAGAACGTACACACAATCTCTCTCTCACACATACACATATATGAGAAAGGATGAAAAAGAGGTGTTGTGAATTATATTTCCTTTTCCTGGCCTAGTTGTACAGTACACAACACCTTTGTTTATAATTTTATTCAAAATATTAAATCGGTTTACCTACCTATGCAAAACACTTTGAAAGCTCGACCTCATCTGTCATAATTATAGAAAACTCTGTCCTCAAACACAGACATGTTAATAAAATACTTTAATTGCAATATCTTATGGAAAGGTTCACTTTGACTTAACTTAATATGCAGCCAAGTCCCATTCACTTCTGTGGTATTAATGCTGTCACAATACCCAAGGTGATTTTTATTAATGACAATATTTGCATGTGTCTTATTTCCATTGTAGTGAATTTCAAGGCTGGTGATATATTTTAATGAACATTACTGTACCATGATTATTTAGACATTAGTTTTATATTCACTTGCATTCAAAGGCACATGTGATGCTAAATAAAATATGTACATATATTCAATTTCAAGGTATTCCATATTTTTGATTACATATTACCACAGACTGCATCTGTATGTGTAAAGCCTAGCAGATGGTAAGCTAAGAGGTTCCCAATCAGGAAAGGAACAATGGAAGCAGAAAATGAACACATTCTCAAAGGACAAATATTGATACAAAGACTGTATCTATTAAATCTGGGAAATAACATGCTAATAAAGTTCCTAGATAAAGAATGGTTTACAGTGCACAATAATCAAATTTATAAGTGCTTATAGTATTTGCTGAACTAATATCATATATGTTAAAAATATTTTAATGTTATTTTGACAGAAGAAAATACTGAAAAAATAAATGCATATTTTATATAAAAATATAAAAGTATTTATTATGCAAGTTATAGGAAAACTTGGTATTTTGGAAAGGTTTTAAAAGGTTAATGATATTAACACATACTTCATATATGATTATTTATTATTTTATTATGTTCTTAAGTGAAAAAAAGAAATCCTCAAAGAAAGATCTCTAAAGCATCCTGCTGCATATAATTTTAAAAAGCATATGACCTTTACAATCACAATTAAGATGCATTATTGCATTTTAACCCTTCGATGTATTTATTATCCTTCCACACACATAACTGATTTTGTATAAAATATTATTTTAAAATATATGATAATTACATTACTCAAATGTAATACAAAATGATATGTATTGTAAAAACTTCTTTGCCTATTTTTGTCAAGTTTCTTAAAAATGGATTAGGTTGACTCAGTATTAGAAACATTTTATAAAAATGAATTTTAGAATCAAATATTGCTTTTTTGTTTGGTTGGTTTTTAGACAGGGTTTCTCTCTGTTGCCCAGGCTAGTTTTCATATTTTTTTGGAGAGACAAAGATTCACCACTTTTCCCAGGCTGGTATTAAACTCCTAGGCTCAAGCAATCTGTCCAGCTCAGCCTCCCAAAGCACTGGGATTACAGGCATAAGCCACCCAAATACCACTTTCAAACCAAAACATAGCCATGCCTCCAATTTCTGATGACATTCATGAAGTGAATTATTATGATAATTTATTGTATTGTTGAATTGTTGAGTAAGAGCTATAGATTAAATAGAAAGATTTTTAAAGAGTTATACAATGAGACGCCCTAATTCTCTCTCATGATTTTTGCTGTGCTATTATTTGAGAATTCTTAGTTGTAAGCTATAATTTCTTCCCCTAAGGTACACATACTTTATAGTTCTTGAGCATAGATACCTAAGGTACATATACTCTATAGTTCTTGAGCATAGATACCTAAGGTACATATACTCTATAGTTCTTGAGCATAGATAGTTACCTTACTTTTCTTTGCATTCTGTTGCCACGCACACAGGGCTGAGAATATAATAGTAGGAATATATATATATCTTGCTTTGTTCCCCATTCTGGAGTACAGTGGCACAATAATAGCTCATTGTAGCCTCTGGGCTCAATTGATCTTCCCATCTCAGCTTCTTGAGTAGCTGGGACTGCAGATGAGCACCACCATGGCTGGCTACTTTTGAAATTTTTTTTAGTAGAGATGGAATCTCATTATGTTGTCCAGGCTGCTCTCAACACCTGGGCTCAAGTGATCCTCCCCGCTCAGTCTCCCAAAGTGCTAGGATTACAGGCATTAGCCACAGTGCCTGGCCTAATAAATAGGATTTTAAATAAACTAATGAATAACTCAAGTTGGAGATGAGCATCACCTTTGGAAAAAATTAGGCTACTGCAGTAAAATATGTGTACAAATAACCCCTTTACTCTCCACTCATCTGTCTTTGTTTGCCATTAATTAAAAAAAGGTGATTAAAAATCTAAAATATAACCTCAGGAGAAATAATGTGATGTGTCATCATACATCAACGAGATACATGTGAAGCTTTCACAACAGATAAGAAAATTAAGGGATGAGATAAATAAAAGGGCATATGGCATAAGGAAAAAAATAAATCACTGTTTATTCTCAGTACTAGAAGCTGTATCTATCAAGGGGATACATCTCAGAAAGATAATCAAAAGCACCTTTAGAAGATAACAAGAGGGAAATATACCATCCTTTAAGAGCAGCCTTTTGGCATGTTTATAGTGCTTAAGGAAAACACATAGTGAGATGGCACTATGCCTATAAGCCTCCAGTACATAACACAGTGTGACTTTGTTTAAGGAACTGATCACAATCCTTTGCTTTGCAGTCCATTTATTTGAATAGATTTCAACTGAAATTAGTTTGGAAAATTTCCGTAATCTCAGGATTTGTGGTTTGCCATACACTAAGGCTGTGGTATTCCATATACATAACTATATATATATATATATATATATATAGAGAGAGAGAGAGAGAGAGAGAGAGAGAGAGTGTGTGTTATGTATATAGTTATATATAATTATTTATATTTATATATATATATTTATATAAAATTATATATATAACTTTCCAAATATTCATATATATATACACACATATATATATACACACACACACACATATATATATATATACACACACACAATGTTGCCCAAGCAGGAGTGCAGTGATGTAATCACAGCTTACTGCAGGCTTGGCCTCCCAGGCTCAAGCAATTCTCCCACCTCAGCCTTCAGAGTAGCTGGGATCATAGGCAAGCAGCACCACCCTCAGCTAATGTGTTTTTTTATTTTTTTATTTTTTGAAGAGACAGGGTCTCCCTATGTTGCTCAGGCTTATTTCTATATATTTTAGAGATGCAATCTTGCTGTGACGCCCAGACTAAAGTTCAGTGGCTATTCACAGGCACCATGACAGCCACAGTCCTCTGAGTAGCTGGGACTACAGGCACACACCACTACACCTGGCTCAGAAAGTTTATATGTGTAACAAGTTGCCAATAATCTTAAAAGTACAAAAGTCACTGATTTTGGAGAATTTTTATTACCATTGTTTTACTATAAAAACCCACAGTATAGGAGATAACTATTAGACTACCTCTTATGTACAAGATAGAAAATGAATTTTATATGGAAAATGCTCTAACGTGTAGATACGAGCTCCATAATTTTATTCAGTAATAGATTGTTTTGACAAAGGTTTTCATCAACGTGTTTCATTTTCCTTATCTCCACGAATAGTCATCCCCCTTTCATTCATAAGCAAATTCTTCTAACCAGGTATGGCCTAATCTTTCTTTTGCTTCAATAATCATTTTGGATTCATCATTCCTTTTCTAGTGTTTCTTACATTAAAATCCTAGCTTTTTTCTCATAGCATATTAAACTCTTTTAAAATCGGTCTGACCATTTGTCTCACTATAGTTTCCCTTCTTTTATTATTCAAGCCTTTAAAATAAATGATCCACTTTCCCTTCACTCTACTATTATCTGGTTAATTTTTAAAACATTGGATTATTCCACATGGATTATCCTCCAGAACTGCTCTGGAAAAAGGCATCAAGGCCATCTTAGTTGTAAAACTCAACCCGATCAGACATAATGAGTTGTTTTGTGTGTGTGTGTGTGTGTGTGTGTTTTTGAGATGGAGTCTCACTCTGTCACCCAAGCTGGAGTGCAGTGGCGAGGTCCTCGCTCACTGTAACCTCCGCCTCCCGGGTTCAAGCGATTCTCCTGCCTTAGCCTTCTGAGTAGCTGGGATTACAGGCATGTGCCACCATGCCCAGCTAATTTTTGTATTTTTAGTAGAGAAGGGATTTCACTATGTTAGTCAGGCTGGTCTTGAACTCCTGACCTTGCTATCTGCCCGCCTTGGTCTCCCAAAGTGCTGGCATAATGAGTTTTTATCATTTACTTAAAATTGCCACATTCTCCCCACTATCAGGACTTAGACGGATTCTTGTACCTGAAATCTATGTGAAATCTCACCACTGCTTCGTCTCCTTAAACTCCCCTTCCCTTTTTTTGCTTTGCACTTAACAACAACAAAAACAAAACAAAACAAAAAAACATTTTTAAGTGATCTGCTAAAATTATTTCCTCCAAAAAGTTTCCCCTTCCCTTTCCAGACTTGGTCCTACAGCACGATGTAATTCTCTTGGCAAAGAATTTCCACCTCAGTGGCAATTGTTTGCTTAGATGTTAATCTTTCCCATCATTGTCAGCTACTGTAGTATAGGGTCCAGGTGTTTCTTGCTAGGAGGCATTCAATAAATATTGCTTGAAAGAATTAACTGCTTCCCCTAATGTTTTACTTTGATAGCAAGTTCCTTTGTATTGTAATTTTAAAACTTGTTTCCACTCTCCTCATTCTTCCTCTAGGGGTTCTCAAACACTATTCAAATGCTCTTCCTAATTGCGCTAATAGTCCAGTGTATAAAGCCTGCCATTCCAGTGTAGAAATCAGATATTTCACTTTCCCTGCCTGTCATATACACAGATGTTATCCTATTATTTGGCCTCCACTAATTAGATACATTTAAGTGAGATTTAGATGTAACAATCAACAATGTGAAGAAATGGGCACCACATGGAATCCATTCTTCATATAAGATTTAGGGCAGCAATGCCAAGGATCTATTATCCAATTCCCAGTGTAAGCAGTGTCCTCTGGATTGTTTGTGCCCAGTTGTGGAGTTTCCACTGGAGAACTACCACAGTGTGTGGTGAGTATTATGCAATTCTTAATTCTGAGACTAAAAATCTGGTCTTCTAGGAGATCCTTTGAATTACCAGATGTCCTTAAATAAATTACTTTCCTGTTTAAACAAGTTAAAGTGGGTGTTCCTTTGTGCAGCTATGAGCTCCGAAAGATTTATCTCCTTATCTTGAGTTGTACCTTTCCAGCTGCTTTAGCAGAATCTACTACCTATACCTGGACCTTAATTGTATTTGTTCATTTAGTCACTCAAGAAATATCAATTGAGTACCTATAAATGTCAGATGCTACTGTAGATATCAGGAACTCTTCAGAGGACTAAACAGAAACATTTCATGTGTTGATCATATTGTGGGCTGAGAAAATAATATTTCCTGAGTGATCACTGTACAGAAGAAAATGTAAGTAGAGCACATGAGCACTCAGGAACTGGTGGCATAAGGATGCTATTTAAGGTATGATATGCATGGAAGACTTCTCTTATTTGGGACATTTGATGAGAAACCTAAGGCTCTAAAATATTCTGTGACCTTCTGGAGGAAGCTCATTGTAGACAGTGTAAACAGTAAGTGAAAAGGCTCTGACCTGTCAGTGTGAGTCATGTGCTTAGAAAACACAACAGCCTGAGATAGGGAGGAACTGCCTGAAACAGCCCAAGCTTTGTTCCTGTCCTTGTTAGGGAATGTACCATTGTGAGTCAGGAAGGAAATGCCCAAGTCAGCCAAGGTTTTGTTTCTCTCTCCCCTGGAAGCAGGATGTACTTGAAAGTTTTGCACAGCAAGTCATATGGCCCATAAGGTATATAAACCAGATTGGGCGGGCTGCCTTTCAGGGTCCTTCAGCTGTAGTGTAAGTGGAGGCACATGCACTATCTGTGCTAGTCAGCTTTCTTGAGCCTTGGGGGACTGGCTCACAAAAAAACAGGCCTACATTTTCCCTTGCAGCCATGTGCACATAGTAAACTCGCCTCATACAAACTATGGCATGTGAGTGTGTTCTGTCTCACTAGACTCAGGTATTAGCAACGTTGAAGAGGAGGATGGCGTAGGTGGAAGCACTCGACTCCTATTCCTGGTAGTTCACCTAGTGATGATCTCTGCTGTGTTTTACGCATTGAGAGTATTTCCTTGGGACTGGCTATTAGTGAACGTGTTTCAGAGAGGGCGGATAACACAGAGCCTCATAGGGCATTGTAAGTACTTACATTGCCCTGTGAATGTGTTTGAAAGCCATCGGAGATTTTAAACAGAGGAGTAATATCTGGATTATATTTAAAACTATCACTGACTATGATAAATAGATTGAGAGGGCATGTGTTGGGTAAAGACACTGTTTAGTAAATAGCTTTAGTAGAAAAGAGATCAGAACACTGAGCCTTAGGCTTTTTCAGTCACAGAGAAAGACAGAGAATCTAGAAAAGGAGACTGTACACGAGATAGGAGAAAACAAGAAAATAAGGTGTCACAGAAGCGAAGCCACATGAAGGTAAAATTTCAAGGAAGAAGTCAACTATAGCAAATGACATGTCGAGAAGATGGGACAGAGAGGTAAGAATGTGGAAGTTATTGATAGCATAAACTTTAAATTCTCTTATTTTACTAACTTGATTCTATTATTTTCTACTACTTGATAATGTCTACTTTACACGTCTTTTTCTACTACCCATATTTGATAATTAGATGCTTCCAACTCAGATCGCTTTAGTGAAATGCAGACTCTTTCCCCAAATTGTACTGGACATTTCTACTTGAAGTTCAACATATTCCTCTCAAAAATCATCCCATCTACTCTCACCTAGATTCTATTACCTTAAGTGTCCTTTTCAGTTTGGAAGACAATTTCGAGTCAATGAAGCTGTTACAGGTAGTTAGGCATACGCAGAGCAGGAGAGGGCTATCCCCCACCCACTACAAATGTCGGGTGATGGTTCAACAATTATCACATTGCTTCTCTAAAAATCGTAATTCGGCAACCAGGGAGAGACAATGTTTTTTTTTTTTCTTTCTTTTTTTTTTTTTTTTTTTGAGATGGAGTCTCGCTCTTGTCACCTAGGCTGGAGTGCAATGGCGCAATCTCAGCTCACCGCAACCTCCGCCTCCCGGGTTCAAGTGATTATCCTGCCTCAGCCTCCCGAGTAGCTGGGATTACAGGCATGCACCACCTTGCCTGGCTAATTTTGTGCTTTGAGTAGACACGGGGTTTCTCCAAGTTGGTCAGGCTGGTCTTGAACTCCCAACCTCAGGTAATCCGCCCACCTTGGCCTCCCAGAGTGCTGGGGTTACAGGTGTGAGCCACCGTGCCCCGCCAAGATACAATCTCCTGATGGTCCACACCTGTTAATATTAAAAGTGTTCAATGAATGCAAGCCCCAGGGAGCAGCAGCTACTTGGGCATGTGTGTTAAGAGACAAATGGTGAAGTATGACGTTCTGGGGACACGTGGCATCGGAAAACGGAAAAAAGCCTCAGATGGGCATGTATAGCTTTCTGAGGACACTGCGTGTGCTCAATCCTAAGGGTAAGGAAAGCACTGCTCATGCGGAAAACCCACCTTGGGGGAAGAATCATGGGAAAGAGGGGAAACTATTAAGTCCCAGAATCAGGTTAACAGGGTTCCTTTTTCTCTCTTTGACCTTCAGGCGCCCACTTAGATCTCTTCCAGGGGTTCTTTCCTTTCTTTCCTATTCTAAAGCATTTTTAATCAATTTCCACTCTTGCTCTGAAACTTGCCTTGGTCTCTTTTTCTACTTGATGCCCCTCAGTCGAATTCTTTCTTCTGAGGAGGCAAGGACTGAAGTTGCTACGGACCCATACAGATAGGCAGCCAGTAACAGGGTAACTCAGATCTCTGCCACCAGTAACAAAACTACCATGATACCTAAGTCATATTAACTTTATATCTTAAAAATCTGTCAAATTTTTTTTAACACTCCATAGTTCATGACCCTGTCATCTCTTGCTTCGGTTATTAATATATCCATATTTTCCATATCCATATTTCAGTCTTGAGCTTCATTTCTTTTATCATATTCTCAAATCTCTCATCATACTAATTATTCTAAATAGAAAATTTGTAATATGATATCCCTGTTCACAATCATTTATTGGCTTCCCATTATATCAGGATGAAAATTAACATGACAGGGCCTAGTATTCTTAATCTGTTCTTGCCTATTGCTTAAGTTTAATCTTCTGCCTGTGTATCGCTGAAACTTTGTTTCTTGAATTCTCATCTGCTTCCATTTCCCTGAAAAGAAGCATGCCTTCTCTCATTTTCATTGCTTTTCCTCATTCAGCTTTCTCTAACTGGACTATTTTTATGTATTTGCCCAAATGGCACTGGGGCAATATACTGATTCTCTTAATAAGTTTGGAAGTATAATAAATTAAGACAAATCTTAACTAATTTCTAAAACATCAGACTAAATTTTGGCTACCATATTGGGCTATAACAGTGGTTCCAACATGCAGGCCCTTAAATGTGCCATTTCTCTGCATTATTGAATGTTGAACAAAAGGTGTTTATGTGGCATTTATGCAATTCACAGGAGGGATTTAATTGATTTTAATTCTCTGTGGGAAACATAATTTAACTTACTAAATCCTTAGTTCTGAAAACAACAAAGACAATGGGAAATGGATTTGTATATGCAGAACATAAAAATTTTAGTCTATCTTGTGGTAGTACATAAATATATGTGCCTTTATATGAAAATTATTGTAGCATAACTCTCAGAATCTTAACAGTTTATTTTATAGAAAACTCGTAGTAGTAAATTCCTCTTGAATATCACAGAGAAAGTATTGTTTAACAGTCTTTGTGGTAAGTCATCATTTAGAACTACAATTGAGCAGAAAAGTATTACATAGATTTTTTTCAGAGTGCCATTTAACCCTGAGATTATGAACACTGAGTAACAGAAATTATTTAACATAATTGAGATATGAAAATATTCAATAATTGTACGAACTCTTGACAGGTTACCTAATTTAGGAATCAAATTATATTATTATTATAGGTAATGCTCTCAAATACTTATGATTCCAAAAATATGAATCAGGCAAATTTTACACATTCTATAAGCAATCTTTCTCATAGAATTACTATGCTGTAGCATAAGAGTGAACATTGACATTTGGAAAAACATAGCATATAGTAAAATCCCAGTTTGTCTTTTTTTGGTAAGTACATCAAGTTTTAAAAGCAAAGTGTCAGTTGCTTTTTCAGGAAAGTAAGCTTGCAAAATTATTTTTTTAAATAAGATAATGAAATTGCTTTAGAAAACAGTTTTCTCCATATAATAGGTCTCTAAAAATTAGTTTTGATAGATATCAAGGTACTGATTTCATATGACACCTATGATCTATGAACATTAATGTTTTTGTAAAATTTGGATAGGTTTTATAAAAATTGCCAAATTAAAATATCAAATTGTTTAAAAATGACATAAATATTAACTAATTTGATCAATTTTATGTAGGAGCCATGTGTCTTCTTCAGAACTGTGAATTGACTGTCTTCATACATCGCTTGATGTGTAAGAAATTTAATTTTAGTGTTTTGAAAAATCTAGCATCTTTGTAAGCATGATAAAGGGGTGATAAATACAACTTCAGAATTGGCTTATTTTCAACTTTAATGGGTTTATTGAGATGTGATTCATATAGCCTATAATTTGCCTATTAAAGTGTGTAATTCAATGTCTTACCTATAGTCATAAGGTTGTGCAATCATCATCACAATCTAATTTTAGAACATTGCCATATCTCCAAAAGGAAATCTTATAAACATTAGTAAGCAGTCAATCTCCATCCCGCTTCCACCTCCCAGCAGCTACTAATCTACATCCTGACTTTATGTATTTGTCTATGTGATGTTTCAAATAAATGGAATTATGCCATATGTTTCCTTTTGTATCTGACTTCTTTCATTTAGCTTAAGGCTTTCAGGTTAATCCGTGTTTTTGCAAATATTGGTAGGATACTCCTTTTTTATATTTAAATAATATTTAATTGTATGGACATACAACATTTGTTTACTTGTTTATTGATGAACATTTGAGTTATGACACTTTAGACCATTATAATTTATGCTGCCATAAACATTTGTGTACAGGTTTTGTGTGGACACGTGCACATGTCTCTTGATCATATAGTTAGAAGTGAAACTGCTGGGTAATATGATATCTCTGTGTTTAACCATTTGGAGACCTGCCAGACTGCTTTCCAAAGTCACTGTACCACTTCACATTCCCACCAGAAAAGGGTGAGGATTGCTTGTACTTGTTATTAATTGTCTTTTTCCTTATAGCAATTCTAGTGGGTGGGGAAGTGGTATGTCATTTCAGTTTTGATTTGAATTTACCTGTTGAGTAATGCAGTTGAGCAGCTTAATTTCTACAAATTCACGAATTCATCAAATCTCCTTCAGTTATTGATTTATTTGGGTTTCACTATTGACTATGATGTGTCTGGGTGTGAATCTCCTTGAGTTTATTCTACTTGGAGATTCTATTACCTGTTTTTTTGTTGTTGTTTGCTTGTTTTTTCTATGCATGAGTTACACATTATTTACATGTCCTCAATTTTTCTTGTTGCTAAAAATCGGATATATTAGATAAAATATTGCAATAATACTCAATAATGATCTCTTACTGGAGGTTATGTTCTTTGCTTGTCATCTATTTGTCTGGAGGCTTGGCTGTACAAATTCTGTAGTGTACATCCCCTGCAGTGTTCAGTCTCTCATGTACCTGCTCTGTTTCCTTTTCTCTCCCTCTATCATTTATTCTAGCTACCCAGAAATTGCCCCTGGGCTGACATAAGCATTTACTGGTCAAAAGTTGTTCTTAAGCTACTTTACCTCATTAGATTTTTACTCTTCACTAGTGCATGTTTGTGTGGCTTGAAGGCCACACAAACAGCTCTGGAAGTTGCTTTTTTGCCCCCCATTTCCCTATAAATAGAGGTTTGGATGTTTGTTCTATGATCACTTCTAAACTTGCATAGTCTTGGGAATGCACACAGTCTTCCAGACTGTAGGTGATAGGTGTAATTTAGTTTTTATTCTCACTTAATAGAATTCCTCCTGCTGATAGCAGAAGACAGACAAATTCCCAGGCAGAAAGGGGCAGGTGCCCCGTGAAACTCGACTTTCAAGCCAACGACAGTCTGAAGTCTGAAAACTGGGCTGCCAGTTCTGGTTGCAGTCTGCGACCCGGAGTGAGAACTTCCTTGATGTCTTTTAGCCAATTGAATGGTGCTTTTTCCAGGCCTGCCCATGGACCAATCAGCATGCACTCCCCCATTCTGAACCCATAAAAACCCCAGACTCGGTGTCACTTAGGGACTTTCTTCCTTCGCCTCGGGGTATGGGCAACCCATCTTGGGTCCCTTCTCCTGTCGAGAGCTGTTCTGTGGCTCAGTAAGACTCTTCTCTACCTTGCTCACTCTCCAGTTGTCATGTAACACCATTCTTCTTGGATGCAGGACAAGAACCCGGAACCATAGGTGCGAACACAGCTGTAACACTGTAGCCCTTCCACGTGACAGGAAGCAGTGGTAAGGCCAGGCCAGCCCAGGAGCCATGGACCTGAGTGGGGCGGTGGGACCAAATGAGCTGTAACACAAACCAGCTAAAACACATTCCTGGCCTGCCCGCCGAGCTGCCGGCAGTGACACCCTCCTATTTGCCAGACTTGGAGAGAAGAGCTGTGACCCTTCTGGGCACCCAAATCTTGGGACTCCCCGAGCCAGAGATACGAAACGGCGTTAACACCTCTTGGGGCTCCACGGTTGCTGGTCTCTCTTAATCTTCGGACACCAGTGCATTCCTCTAGTCCAGACAGCGGCGCCCAAGGCAGAAGCCGCTGGAGGCACAGTTGGTCCAGCTACAGTCTCTCTCGCTTGGAGCTTGTGCCTGTGCCTGTGCCAGTGCCTGGAGCTGCCCGCCCCACCGCAGAAGCCAGTGCACCTGGCTGTGAGCAGTGGCAGGACCCTGTGCTCCCTCGCTTACACATCCCTCATCGCTCCATGCTGAGCTCACCCGCGGGGAAGCGTGGGATCTGGGCTGGTAGCATGAACCAAGCACAGCCTGCCAGGCTGAGTGGGTGGAGCTAGCCCAGCTGTCGTGAGCAAAACTCAAGCAGAGGTGCCAGTGGCCAAAGAGGCTTCCATCTGGTGAAGTGGCACTGAAAGAATCCTGTGTAGCTGGGTTAGTGCAGCTTATTTTTCACTCAGTGTTTTGTCAAAGGTTGCATTTAAGTGCCTTGTATTAGATTTCCACCTTATGTTGATGGGTCTGTGTGTAGATTCGTGAATGCTTTCAACACTGTCCCGTATCTTTCTATACTTACTCCTGAGTGGGTGCAGCCTAGAGCATGTGAATGGTCTTTCTGAAACACAGAGTCAATTTGGATCTCAGGGAGGCTTTTTAGGCTGTCTTTTTTTTTTCCTGGTTCTATTAAATATCTGACTGTTTTGCCATTTTGCAGGTATGTTGGAGCTACTAGCCTCCTCTTAAACACTCGCCACTAAGATCTCAATCATTTTTGACAATTCTTTAGGCAGGTAGTTTTCCATACTCTGTTCCAAATAAATCCAGTCTCCTTGGGCAGAACTGCTAACTTTTCCATTGTTCATTTCGTTTGATTTGTAAATTCAGATTTGAAAACATTGAAATTAAAGACAATAATGATTTCTAAGTAGAGATTAATCCCTTTACTACCAGAAACCTTTCCCCAAATACATGTCCTGGAGCACATGTAAGGAAAGTTCCCTAATACAGACTAACCAGTAAGGCTTGCCTTATATTAATAATTAAATATAATTATTTAATATTATAGATGCAAATTTATTTAATCCTGGTTCGCTTACACAAGTGTTGCTTCAGAAACATTGGACTTTATCAGTTTTCTGATGTTTCTCCTTTGAATTTGAAACTGACCCAATAGTCCCATAGACTGTTCTTTTGGATAAACATAGGAATTGACCTTTCTGTTCTTAAAGCTTGAAATTGGCATTTGTTTTATCTGAGTTCCTTCCTCAATAAAGAACCTTCAGTCCTCTAAAAAAAAAAAAAGTAGCAAAGAATTGAAACTCACCAGATCACCACATCCAGATAACGAGACTTTAGACCCCTCACTCATCATGATTGCTTCCTTGCCCCTTCCTAGTTCCTGTTTTCTTATACAGTGTTACATTTCTCCCCTGCTATATAAACCCCTGGTTTTAGTGGTTCAGGGAGATGGATTTGAGATTGCGCTCCCATCTCTAGCTGCAGCACCCGATTAAGGCCTTCTTACTTGGCAATACTTGATTGGATTTCTGTGTGGTAAGCAGCAGGGCCTAGACTAAACCTCTGGTGTTTTGGTAACAAATTCAGTTGTTATATAGTAAGTGATCCATTAGAAATTAATATTCTTAACACACATTTCTTTGGGATTAAGCTTTATCAGAATACATTTCTTTCATTCAAACTTTATAAGTAATTTTTCAGCTAAAAAATCCACAAATTACAACGTGTTCAAATAGGTGCCAATCTTCAGAAGAGATAAACATGCTCATTAGTACATATCTCAATAAATAATTAGGGATTGATCCTTGAAATATGATTATACTTATATGTACCTCTCCCATTCAATCTATTAGCAAATTCTATCCACACAGAATATAGCTCAAATCAGTCTACTTTCCTTCATCCCAGTTTCCTCCACCTAATTCTAAGCCAGTGTCAGTTCTATCCTTGAAACTAGAGTCTCTTTCCACCCTTACTTAGCACCAATAAAACCTTCACTCAGTAGTCAGAGGGAACTTTTTAAAATAAAAATAGAATCCAAAGAAATTGAAATCAATATATCACAGTGATACCTGCGTGTCCATGGTCATTGCAGCATTATTTACAATAGTCAAAATATGAAATCAAAATGCATGTTCAACAATAGACAAATGGATTAAAAAATGTGTTTTATAAACCTGATGGAAGGTTTATAAAGTTATAAGTTTATAAAGTTATTTATAAGTTATTTATAAAGTTTATAAGGTTATTCAGCCTTAAAAAGGAAAGAAATTATGTCATTTTTGACAACGTGGATGAATCTGGAGAACATTATGTTAAGTGAAATAAGTCAGGCATAGAAAGACAAATACAACATGATCTTACTTATATATGGAGCCTTAAACAATCAAACTCATAGAAGTAGAGTAAAATGTTGGTTACCAGAGGCTGGAGGCAGGAGAAGAAATGGGAAAAGGTTTGTCAAACGGTACAAAGTTTCAGTTAGTCAGGAAGAATACGTTTTTAAGATCTATTGCACAACATGGTGACTATATTAATAATGCATTGTATATTCAAAATTGCTAAGAGATTAAATGTCAAATGTCTCACCACAAAAAATAAGTGAAGTGATGTATATGCTAATTAGCCTTATTTAATCATTCCAGGTTGTATCACATTGTATCCCACAAATACATGCAATTATTCTTTGTCAATTAAAATGCCATCCTGTTTTGTTATTTTTTCTATTGAGTGTTTTGTATTCTTTTACTTTATTTTACTAATGTGTTCAATAGTCATATGATAGAAATAAAGTCAGGGCTCATCAGATAAAGAAACATTTTCAGGTGGATTAATTATCAAAATTTATACATGAAAACCTGTATTTAAAAGTATAAAATATAGAAACAAACATATACAAATATAGATACAGAAATGTATTACATGTATTTAGATATATATACACATACATAAATATATACATTCAATTCTGTATTTTATGTTACATCTCATGTTTAGGAAGAAACACCTTTCTAGTACTAAAACATTTTCGTCATAAGCAACTAGAACTTCATGTTATCACAACATGTAATGTTCCCTCTTTGTCCACCCCCACTCCCAATTTTCTTACCTTACCTATAGAGTATTATGTGTACATATTTATATAAATGTTTTTGTGCACTGAATATATTGTTTTACCATTTACTTTTTAGCCCTCAACAATTTTCTTGAAATATTTTTTATAAAAGTTTACATAACTACCTTATCTCTTATAATTGATAATTTAAACCCTATATGAATGGCTGCTACTTTATCATTATGTTTTCTGTTTCATGCAATAATAAAATGACATATGTCAGATAGATTGCAAATTGCTTAATGCATTGTCTAATCTTCTCGTATTCTTTAGTAAGAGAACTTCATTTTTTCAAGGTAGCAATTGACCCAACTAAAAGACAAAATTTTATACTTTGCTGCTAGTTTGGACCATTTAACTAAAAACTGCTAAATAAATATGCCAATTTTATAGTACTTTCAGGAATCATTCTTAAGGAAATAGTCTTTCATCTTCTTTCTTTCCTTCTGTTACCTGCTGGCTGTAATATATATGCAATCACATACAAAAGCAGTAATATGAAGGAACTTGAACCATCATTAATTGTGGAAATGCAATGCAAGCAAAGACCCAGATGCTGAATGATAGCCTTAAAAGCTACCTGCCTAGACCTTTGTTTTGCATTGGTAAACAATTTTGGCAAACTGTTACATTTTATGCTTTGGAAGGCAAACTGCAGACTGGCTAAGGTGGTGTTATTACGTGGAATTGTAAAGGGAGTCACAGGATCCCTTTATGATTGCTGCTTGCTGCTTTTGGTAAAATCCTGCAAAATTGTTATGGACTCAACGTAGAAGAAGCCTATCTTTAAGCAGAAATAAGAATCCCTTATATTGCAGATTTGTAGGATAAAAAGTCAACAGCTTCTGTCCTAGATGAGATGTGTATTTGTGCATGTGTAGAAAGATAGTTGGATGTATAGATAGATAGATAGATAGATAGATAGATAGATAGATAGATAGATAGAGATAGATGTATAGATAGATAGATAGATGGATAGATAGATGGATAGATAGATAGATAGATAGATAGATAGACAGACAGACAGACAAAGTTTTCTAGGGCTGATATAACAAATTACCACAAACTTGGTGGCTTGAAACAAAAAATAATAATTATCTCATAGTTAAGGAAGCTAGCAGTTTAAAAGTGTTAGGGTGAGTACTTGATGGAGACAATGAGGGAGTATCTGTTCCATGTTTCTCTTCTGATTTCTGGTGGCTACTGGCAATCCATGGCATTTATTGGCTTGTAGGTGAAATCACACCACTCTACTTCCATTATCACATAAACTGTTTTTTTCCTTGTGTTTCTCCCTGTCTTCATATGGGCTTCTTAAAAAGATGCCATCATTAGATTTAAGACTCACCCTAATCCAGTATGACCACATCTTAAATTACTTCTGCCAAAAATCCTCTATTTCCAAATAAAAGTATTTTCTGAGATTTCCTATGATCATGAATTTTGGAGGGATGCTACTAAGCACAGTAAAGATAGATGATAGATAGAGAGCAGGGCCACAGATTTCACAATAATAGTTTACTGAAATACCATTACTCTGCTGCAAAGAGGCAATTTAGGGTGTTGTTTTTCTATCCAAGCTCATTATTTCAGATGGCCTCAATTTTCAGAGAGGTGCAGATGGAAAATGCAACAGTTATAGGAAATGTAAAATACTTTAATCTTAAATAATCTGTTTATATAAGCCCTTTGCCTATGGTTACTTGCATTTGGGACTGGAAGCAAATAAATCAGAAGTCTACTATATGTACATACCTGTCCTGAAAAAATAGCCAGTGGCAGTTATATCCCTAAAGAAAGTCTAGGTCCTTAAAACTACACCACTAGAAAGTGGTCTAATATAATTGAGCAATCACAAAGAAGGAGAAAGTCTTCATTACTCATCTCACTAATGGCAATGGAGGACAGGGGAAACAAATTTAGAGAAGACACAGATACAGAACATGGAGGTCAATGGAGAAAGCTGGGTTTATCCTGGCATGCAAACTTCCCAAGGAGCAGAGCTGTAGATATTTATTCCATTCGTTATTTCCAGATCATGGCATTTTGGAATAGAGGTGCATACCTGCAGGGGATAGTCAGGTTCCAATTCCAAAGATAAATTCTGTTTGTCTACTACTTGAGCAGACTTATTCAAAATATAAAACAAGGCAACAAGTAATGTCATGCACAGTTGATGGATGCATTTTAGTGGGTTTCTTGTATTAGATTAAGGAGGGAAGACATTCAGTGTTACACAAGTGCCCTCATAAGCATGCAACATCTCTAGCTTCCAAAATAGCTAATAATCATATGAGTATGGTTATTTTCTATGTTAATGATGATGTCCTTAGTGTTATCTATTTACTCAATAAACACACACATGAAACAACCCTGTCAAAGTAGCTGTTAAAAATAAAGATTGCCATTTTCCATGTGAATAATCATGACCTTAGAGTTTTATATATACCCCATTATTTCTGATAATTTTACATCCTAATGTTTAGAGTTATTAAACTGTGACAGATTGTTTGGGGCTAGACTACTACATGCTATGAACTAAATAACAGGTGAGTCTTGCCAGGGCTAATTACAGGAAGTTCTGGTGTCATCAGCTAATGCTTCTCTTGGAAAAAAAAATGATTGCTTACACTGTCGATCAATGTTCACTGTTTTATTTTATCTCATATTTATTATAAGCAAGTATTAAATATAATATTCTGAATCACATTCATTTTATTTTCAATAGGTTTTTTAAATTAAAAATATGTAAGGGATTATGGGAAGAAAAAGCTAGAAATAACTTGAAAAAAACCTAATTATATGACAAATATATAAGACTTTGTACACTTAGTGTATAACTGCATTAACAACTCGATGATTATGTATGATTTTTCTCAAAATGTAACTTTGAAGCAGACTGTACTACATTTTAGTAAAACACTGAGAAAAAATAAGCTAGAATATATAATTTTGATAAATTCTAAAAATTTTTAATTTCTTAAATGGATATATTGTTATAATTTCTATCTTTAATAAAATAGCTAGTTAAGATTTTATATCACTTGTGCAGAATGCAAGATTAGACATAGTTGCTTTATAGAGGCCACCATAACAACCAAAATGGAAATCAAAACTTACTCACAAATCAGTATGGAAGAGGTCAGGACTGCAGGATGTATTATAAAAGAAAGGTATGAACATATTAAGTTTCATATAAGGAAAAAGGAAAATAAGGAATGTATTGATCAAACTGGTTATGAAAAGCTTTTTTTGTTTTTAGAGTTGTCCATGGTCACCTTTCAGTCCCATCTTGTGGAACTGGTTACCTGTAATCCACCAGGGACACCTTCAACTACATTAAAATAAATGTATTAAAAATTTACGAAAGTTTTCATATAAAATTAAGTACATCATAGCAAAATCTTTTATCGTTTTGTCTCCTACATTTTTATTAAAGGAAACCTATATTGATAAGTTAATATAAGCCTATATTGATAAGTTTGAAATCTTCAGAAAACTTTAAGGAATACAAACATCATTTATGAACATTAAAGGTCAAAGTACATTTACATGTTGATTTAGAAATGAGCCTCCTGGCTGGGCATGGTGGCTCACGCCTGTAATCTCAACACTTTCAAAGGCCAAGGCAAGTAGACTGCTTGAGGACAGGAGTTCAAGACTAGCCTGGGAAAAATGGTGAAACCCTGTCTCTACAAAAAATACAAAAATTAGCCAGATATGGTGGTGTGTGCCTGTAGCTACTAGGGAGGCTAAGGTGGGAACCTGGGAGGCAGAGGTTGCAATGAGCGGAGATGGTGCCACTGCACTGCAACCTGGGTGACAGAGTGAGACTTTGTCTCAAAAAAGAAAAGAAAGAAGAGATGAGCCTCTTTCAAATGCACCAAGTTCATTCATCTGAAGCTCACTTAGAATTGTAAAAGAATTACTGTAACATCACTCAATACATTTCCTCAGATTTTATACCCTGAAATTATTTCCGTTGACACAAATATAAATGAGTTATTTTTAAAGAAGAATGAGAATTCACTTCTTGTTTCCAGATTCCAAAATAGTAAAAACAAAACTAAATCTTGAATGTGACAGGGAATGCAAAATAAAGTACCTGACTTTGAACAACAGGAGATACTGACAGTATAGGAAACAAGCATTTTTTTTTTTTTTGAGACATAGTCTTTTTCTGTTCCCCAGGCTGGAGTGCAATAGCACAACGGCTCACTGCAACCTCCACCTCCTAGGCTCAAGCAATTCTCCCCACTCAGCCTCCCGAGTAGCTGGGATTACAGGCATGCACCACCACGCTTGGCTAGTTTTTGTATTTTTAGTAGAGATGGGTTTTTGCCATGTTGGCCAGGCTGGTCTCGAACTCCTGACCTCAGGTGATCTGCCTTCCACAGCCTCCCAAAGTGCTGGGATTATAGGCGTCAGCCACCGTGCTTGGCCTGATTTTTTTTTAATTGAAAACAAAAAGAAACCTGAATTATCACTGTTTTATGAATTAAGTTGGTGCTCATATTTCTCAATTGTATTTTCAGTTTTTGAATACAATCTGTAAATATAAATTAGGTAATGCTATTCTATTACAGTAAGTTATAATGTATCTATATGAGACCTACAGTGTTTGGGTTGATAAAGTCTAAGCAATTTTTTTTAACTTTTATCATATTAATTTTCTAATTACAAAAGCAGTAATTATAGAGTATAACATATATACCAAATACATAGTGTAGTTAATTAATATTATTTAACTAATAGTTAACTTACATATTTAATATAGGTTAAAAGTTATCTGAAAATAATTTGCATCTTAAAATAATTCAATAGATCTTGATCTTACAGTAGCTTGAAAGAATTTGTATCAAATACACTTCAGTAAATAATATTTCAAAAGTCCTGCGATCTCCCAATGAAAAATTATTCAAGGTAATGCATACATATCTTTCTCATCCAAATGTGCAAAGTCGTTCAATATGAACACGTGAATAACAGCATTTGAAAAATATAAGGATATGTGAAGCTATTATATGTATATATGTAGATGATACTTCTTAGTCTCGTGTGGAGTATTTCAGAACGTTCCTAATATATTTAAAACTTTAATTTTATGATTCTGAAAAGAAAAATAAAATCAATTTATTTTAAAACCAATTAAGTGAAGTTTGTTCAGTTTTATTTTGTTGAAAACTGTAGTTTCTAATGATTTTGAATTGTTCTGAATAGCTTTTAAAAACACGTTAACATAAGTACGTCCATATGTGATGTATGTAATATGGACATGTGTATTTTCACAGATATATTATCTCATTGAAAATTTATATATAGGCATAACACTGATTTATTGTGTTCCTCATAAAATTTAAAAACTCTTTGCTTTTTCTTTTTTTATAATTTTTAAATATATGGTGCATACAAAACGTCTTATTTATAAACTATTGGCATAATTATAAAATAAACTCTTGACCCATTATCCAACTTAAGTGCTAGACAACCAAGAATACTTTGCATCTACCCCTATGCTCCTACTTTATGCTCCTACTTGACCCATTATCCAACTTAAGTGCTAGACAACAAAGAATACTTTGCATCTACCCCTATGCTCCTACTTTAAAGTAGGAGCATACTTTCCCTCGCCTCCCCTGACAAGCATTATTTTAAAATTCATTGTATCAGTCAGCTTTCCTTGAGTAAGAAATCAGCACAACATTTAATGGCAAATAGTAAGCATTTATTTCTTACTCATAATTCTGTGGAGGGGATGATGTGGCTCTGATTTAATCTAAAATCTAGTTTAGGTCTCTTCCATATTTGTCATTTCTAGGGCTTTTGGAAAATGTCAGAAGGAAAAATGCAAAATAGCACACTGGCATTCCTGCCCACAATCCCATTGGCCAAACAAGTTCTATGGCCAAAGCCAATGTCACAGGCATATGCCACGGAGATAGTGTCTGAGGGGAGGTGAATATTTGTTGAAAAATAATCTAATCTATTACAACTGTGCTTATCATTTACTTTGATTTTCTTTTCCAAATTGTGAGCATTTGCTTATGGCATTAAATTTCAAAAGAAGAGAAAACCTCGCAGTTTTTTTGGTATGATAAGCCAGAGGAGTCAATTTTACCTTTCTAATTATTAATTTATTTAATATTTATTAAGTAGCGCATACTATATTCTAGGCATACTTCCATTTTTCTCCTCCCAAGAAGTTTCATCATTTACGATTTCATTCTATCGCTTTCAGATTTCCATTCTGAATATAAATAACTTAAAGGAAATTGCTATTTCTATGTGCCTTAGCTGGTTGAAATTTTTATGCTTACTTGATAGTAATAAGCATGAACATGTTGAAATATACAGTCAGGAAAGATGATGTTCAGTGAATTGTAACACATTTAGAATATTTCAATGAAATTAAAATTGCAATAATTTGCAAAGAAAAACTCCATTAAAATGATTGGATTAATTTGTCAGTAGAAAGTTTATTTCTCCAAGAGAGCTTTGAAACATCAGCAATATAATTTTTACCAGTTTCTTTTTTTGTAAAATGAAGTTTAAAGATGGTAGATTCTTTTTCTTACTTTGTGCTATTTAAAATGGAAAAAATTTTGTTTTGTTTTGTTTTGAGAAAAGCATGAGAGTAAGTAGGGCCCCTCTTTTTGTACAGAACTTTTAAGTTTTCAGGAAACTTCTACAGAGATAAATTTCTCATGGTATTAGATATCTTAATGTGTACAAATTTAGACATTTTTACTAATTATACAGTAAGATCTGAGAAACCTAATTCTAACTGCTCTTTGTCTTTGTCTAATAAAGAATACTCAACAAGATTTATAAAGAATCACCCATGTGTTATTGTATATCAGTTCCATATCTAATAGAAAATGATTCTTAAATTCCACATTGCAATGCCACGAAACAATTTTTAAGCATGTTTCTTTTATCAGCCTAGATCTCACAATAGTCTATGTAACTTATTTGAAAAACATAGACCAGTTAGGTCTCCTTGACATTATCATTATAAACATCTAAAATGGAAAATGAAGTGAGAAAGTCCAGTTATTGCAAATCAGTAAAGCTGTACATATACCATTAATTTATGACTGTCTAAGAAAGGACAATGATAGGACCAGAGGCATAATGCACACATCTTTTTTATCCATGTAACTTTCATAGCCTCTTTTGGGGTGCTATTGTTCACAAAATCTTTGATATAAAAAACAGGGAAAACAAACTTGGCTTAATAACTTCTATAATATTTAGGTCATATCACTATTCCTTGTTGGCAAAATTTGGTATTGGGCAATACTTTTAGTTAAGCATTCAGTTAGGAGTCTTTTAAATCTTCTCTCTCCACTCCATTCCCTGACCATTGGGCTAGAGAAGCAAAACTTTTAACACCCTAATAAAAGAAAGAAGATGGATGAAACAGAAAAAGGAGAGAGAGAGAAAGTTTTCCCAAAGCCTAGCTAACAAAAATGTGCTATAGCAATTATGACATTATTAATGAAAGAGATTTTTTAAATCAACAATGGTGAGAAAATAAACATAATTTTATGAAGTTGGAATAATCTTTGTGATTCTTATAAAATATATCTGTTGCATTATTACATATTGCCATTGGAATATTCAATATTTTTCTAAGGTGAAATTAATACTTCCAATTACAAAAGGACCTTCAGAAATTCTGCATAATTAAATGTTCTTTAAAGCCAGACACAGGGGGAATAGCTAGAGAAAAATCCATGCAGGCTTTAAAACATACTTATTTCCAACAAAAGGTAAGATTTGAAGAATGTGTAGAGGAAAGAACAGATATAATTTCCATGTATTTCTGAATCACTGGTTTTTAAAAAATATTTTAACAATCAAATTCACTCCTGTGGGAAAATGAAACACATATCAATATAAGTCATTTGAATTATTTGCCATATTAGATTGCTACACTTCCTATTGAGATAATCAATGACTTGTCATGCAATTAACTATATCAGGTTAATTAGAAAAATGCAAGTGAGCTGTATCAAAAATTACTTATTATTGAAAGAATTTGTAAAACCAGTATGATGTGGTGCAGTCACATGCAAATTTCATAGCCTAAAGCCAGACATGCTCAATTACATTAACAAGTCAAAGTCACTTAACTTCATATTCTGTTAATTTTTTGTATGTTGATAACATATGATCATATGATGTAAACCAAATAACAAATAAGAAGGCAATTAAAATTGTAAAATTAATACACAATTACCATTATTAGCATACTTAAATGAATTATGGTTAAACCATAATTGGAGCTGTAGTCAATTTTAGATTGTATATTATGCCTGAATATTTTGTATCATGGCAGGCTTTTAAAAAAACAAGGTGTATAGAAATATTCAGACAGGTTATATCTTTAACGTATTGCCTCTGAAAAATTTCCATGGAAAAACCTACTCCTAGAGGTGGAAGATTCTCTATTTTTAGAACTTTGGAAGAGATAAAATGGTTCCTCTATTTTAGTGCTGTTTCTGCTGTCAGAAATGTCTTCTTAGAACTCTGCTCATTTCAACTGCAAAAGAAAAGGTCAGAAAGTAATTCCCCAGTAACTCACTTCCATTGCTACCTTTCCAAGCAATAACAATGAAACAGATAGCAACAGGTAGAAGGGGTTTAACATGGAGATTCATAGAGGCAACATTTAATAAGTAAATTATGCTGAAACAAAATTCAGAAGAACTCTACAATTATGTTCAATCTGGTGCCCATGTATTTCACTGTTCAGATAGCAGATTGTCGTTTTGAAAAACCGAATGGGAGGAATCTAAGCTACTAGGCATTTTGCCTAATTTTTCTTCAGCTCTCTCTCCTTTCCTTTAAGCCTTAGACACATGACCACAGAGTCCAGACATGGGGTATATTGAGCTGTAGGTTACAATATTTGGAATGTGAGGAGCTGGAGGTAACTTGAAAAATTTTAATGCTAAGCAGCTGCTAGAGGCTATTAGAAGTATATTGGTGATGATCCAGATATAAATGATTTTAATAAAAAAGATTGTGAAGTACAAAATGCCAACCAATTTCCCAGAGCACTGCACTGAAAAATGATGGACCTAGAGAAACATTTGGTTAAGTCCCCAGTAGCCAAAAAAGGCTTTTGAAAAAACTGGACATTTTAAAAGACCATAGATGATGAATCCATCACATAAAAGTCAAAGACTCTAAGAGTACTTAGGAAATAATGAATGTGCTATCTCTGATAGATTATGTAATGATTTAAAAAATATATAAAGGTAAAGTAGGCATACTGAAACAATGACCAGAATGCATATAGAAGATAAAAGAAAGGTTGGGGCTAGCTGCAGGAAAGTGGAACCCTTCTCAAAGAAAAGTGGGATTTTTTTTTTAATTTGGACGGCTACAGTATAAGAATAACTTAGCTTAAGAAATGATAATGTCTTAATGATAAACTTAGCTTCTTAATGAAAAAAGTTAATATGCTGCCATTATTTTAATAATATATTAAATTATATCATATAATCATAATACAATAATCTGTCATATTATTCAATATTTAACAAAATATATTTATAAATATAATAAAATTTCATGTTTATATATTTATAAATACATTGTATTAAATATTAATCAAATATGTTTGTTTACATATTAATATATATATTTTATTAAATGTTAATCAACAATCATATTGATAATTATTATAGCCAGTTATTTTAAAGCTTCAATTACAAATGAGATTATTATATTGGACTCCAGAAAATATATTTATAACACAGTAGGATATATATGTTATTTCTAAACAGAGTAGGATATATACATATACACGTATATGTGTGTGTGTGTATATATATATATATATATATATATATATATACCTAATAAATGCTGCTTGATTTTGTTTCAATTTTTTGAAAATAATATTTCACATTGTTATTTTAAATAAATATATGCCTGAATTAAAGTAAGAATACCTCAAATAACTTTAAAGCTATGACATTGAATACACAACTTAAACTTGACTAAAATTCAGTGAGATAAATGGGTTGATCCAATAAATCAGACTATTTGAGTGTGAATTACTGCTTTCTCACCCCTCACCTCCATCTAAGCTTGAGCATCTTATTTAATCTGTCATATCTCCTGAATACATGTGGATAATCATAGTACCTACATGATAGATTGGTGAGCATTTTTAGCACAATGCCTGGCACTGGGTAGGGTTTCAATATTTTATAATATTTCCAAACAGGAACTGTAGCTATAGTACTAAATTATGAATACAATGTAAAGAAAACCATTAAGTAGTAAATAGTCCTTCAGACCACATGTAAAACCAGATGATTCACTGTGATAATTCATTGCAAAAGCAACTTGTCATTTCAGATGAAGTGATTGGTATGAAACTGAATTAATCATTCTAAAATTTGGGATAGTCACACTGTAAAAGTGAACTCTGCACATTATGGTTACCTTTCAGGAGAATCAGATTATTTTCCCACAAGCTTTTATTTTTAACTATTTATTTATTTTACCAGCTTTATAAGATGTAATAAACAAAAATTGTATATATTTAAGGTGTGCAATGTAATGTTTAGAAACATATACATTATAGAATGAATGTCACTCAAATTTACTCTAAATTGTACTCTTCATTAATTTAAATTTGTTAATGTTACAGGTAATTTTCATGATGTTTCTCCTGGACAAATTGATGTTTCTCATTGTGAAAGCAGAAATATCTAACTTTAAATGTTAAACAATAAATACCAATTAAGTATTAATTTACTTTTTCTCAAAAAGGAACTTAACCCGTTGATGGGAGAAATTATCTATTTGGTTAAAATCATTGTAAAATAGAGGAGGTTTTTGGTGCCAAAGTATTCATTTCTTATGTACACTCTAAATATAAAACTGGTACCAGCAGTAATTATGAAAAGAGAATTAAATTGCAGGGTGCCATATGTAGTGACTTTTATAGTTGCATTCATATTGATTACATGTAATTTTTATAGCAGACCTCTTTTAACTTTATAAAAGAATATGGCAATTAGATGCTTTTACTTTACTACCTGATATATGATCCAATAGAAGTGCTGTAGAAAAGCTGTCTGAATTTAAATATGTATTTTCACTACATTTAAAAATACCCTGCTTGGTATTTTAAGTATTGTAGAACAGATAGTGTAACATTGCTATTAGTTTTCATAATCATGTCTTATTTTGTAGAAAAAAAAACAATGAATTACAAACTTAAAGTTATGTTATTAAGGAATGCTTTCCATAGAACGTCTGATATACTTATTACTAATATTGAACTTTTAAAAATGACATCTGTATTAATGAAGATTGGCATTAGAAGCTTCGTAATAAAAGGAGATCTTTGTACCTCTATAAATCACATATATTTCTTTCTCTTTACTGCTTACTCTCTTGATATTTTGTTATGTGACAGCCATAGATATATACAATATCCTAATTGAGAGTCCGTTTTTAACTAAAAAATGTATATGTAAAAGATGCTTTTAAATAACAAATTTAAACTTTTGGTTCTACTTACTATGAAATTTTCAAGTTACTTTATATGTAAAATCATATTATAGATGATGACTTTATTTTATTCTACATAGAAATCAAATATGTCAATCATGAAGAATAAAATAAACATTCCCACTCTGATGTTCATATTTGAAAATGAAGATTTTAGTTTTTTCATTCATGTTCCATTGGCTAACATGTGTTCCAGAAATTTGATGGTACAAACTTAAAAGATGGCAGAAACACCTCTTAAATCTACATGACTAACTTCACAAATTATAATGGTTGAACATTTAAAATAATTCAATTCTTCTTCAGTCACAGCAAAATACATCTCCATGGTATTTCTTTAACATAAAAGCAATTTATTCTAAACAATTTCCTTTTGGAACCTGAAACTTGCTATAAGAGGGATTTTGAAAAAAAGCATCTCTATAAAGATATCATCCTAAAAAGAATTAAATGAACTGCACCACCAGCAGCTATGGAACAACACACAGCTAATTGGGCCACATGAGAATCAAACCTCTGATGCTGGCCACAGCAGCACATAGACAAAGAACAAAGATTCCCTCAGATGCTTGAACTCAGGACATACTGATGATGAGCTATACTTACTGCCTTCCCCTGCTAAGGCAACACTAGTCTGTTTCTTTCACAGATTTAATAGAAAATTTTGGCATGTGATACAGATTTGGACAGAGTACTTTTAATTCTTATCCCACTAAAAATCGGAAGTGGCATCATACTGCTGCCAAAGATGAACACAGGAACTTGCAAAAAGATGACATAGGAGGGAAGATTATGTTTGTGGAATACTGGAAGGAATAAATTGAGTATCTGTGTCTTATTCCCACTTTTGCGACCATCTAACTATGTAATTCATGGACCATGATTGTTCCCTAAAATAACATTGTTTAACTCACAATCATTAATATTTCTCCAAAATTTCCCAATCTCTAACCCTTATCGAAGTCGTGTATTAATATATTATCAACTACATGCATGTAAAAAGCTAATTTCTTAAGTACAAGCAATCGTTAAATATGGGTACAAGTGACAATTGTGGAGATTTATTCCAAATATAGAATATTTGTATCGACAAAACATATAAATACATGAACATATTCATAGGTTGGTACTCAAAACTAAATATTCACAGATTTAAATATTGCTTAGTAAGTTAAAGGGGATAATAATGTCTATAAGATTTACTGATTAATAATGTAATAACTTAGTAAGTTAAAGGGGATAATAATGTCTATAAGAGATTAAAATGAGCTAAGGTAAAAAATGTTGCACAAACTTAAACCACAATTTAATAATATAAATATGATCATTTCTTATTGAAGTAGCCTTTAAACTCTCTGCATTTATGTTTTTCCAAAAATATTGCTTCTACTCTAGTTTCAATTTATGATGTTGGTAACGAAGCACACAGAAAGAGCAGCAGCAAGAACAACAATAAAAGTTTACTTTGCTTGTGAATAACCCAAGGGAGAAGTAGAACACATCTAAGGGGTAGACTGTTACTAGAACTTCTTCTTCTTCCATGTTGATTTATTCATTTAACAAATGCTTATATATCACCTGCACCATAATAGCTTCAAAGGAAAAAGTATGAATACGAGGGAGAACCTACTTCATTCTTGGAATTTAAGGCCAATTAAGAAGACAGACATTGAATAAGTAATTTTAAGCATGAAGATTCATGGCCTCCACTGATAGCTAATTGTAGGATCATAGGAAACTGCTGCACAATCGGAAACTGGTGTAAATGTGTTTTAGTACTGACAGACATCATTGGCTAGCTAAGGACGAGAATATTAGTTGACAATAAAGGTTAATTGTAAATAGGGAAGACACAGATTAGGATAGGTTGCTGCTTCACAGATAATAAAAGTCAGAATTACTAAAGAAGTAATTGCAGGAAATATTTATGAGAATTTGTTCCACATATCCAGAGGAGCCCCTGAAAATATTCTGGAAGAACCCCAGAAGACCAGTTATTCTAAAGTATCCTACGCATACAACCTTTGTGGGATGCAATGGTGTTAAGTACTACAACATATATATTCCCTAAAGCATTAGTTTGTGCTGCTGTAACATAATAGCACAGACTGGGTAATTCAAAAAGAATAGACATTTATTTCTCCCAGTTCTGGAGGTCTGGAAGTCCAAGATGAGGTGTTGGCAAGTTGATTGGTGAAGACCAGGTCTCTGCTTCCAAGATGACACTTTGAAGATTGCATTCTCAAGAGGGAAGGAATGCTATGGCCTCATGTAACAGAAGGTGGAAGAACAAAACAGTGTGAACTCCCCTCAACAAGTCTTTTTATAAGAGTATCTAATCCCACCAATTACCTTGAGTCCACTCCTCCCAATACCATTGCATTGGGAATTAAATTTTAAAATGGATTTTGGAGGGGACAAAAACATTCAAACCTTTTCACCTGGGAATGAGGGGATCATATTTATAATTAGTGTAAGGCCTAAAAGGCTTCAATCAGGTGAAAAAATAATGTCTGGTTTCTAATGGAGATCCACTGGTGATTTCTCTATTCTCAAAAAAATAGAAAAGATTGTCTGCAGGAGAGGAAGGTGGAATCATTATTTTTCTTTTTGACTACACTACTTTTACATAACAGAAATATATTTTAGGCCAGGATAGGGAATGGAACTGTTCCTGAAATCCTGATTTAAGCTATAACTAAAGTTTAAATAGTCCTGACTTAAACTGTAACTCTGAAGAGATTGTTAAGCATTTGACACTCATTTATGACTTAGAACTTAAAAGGATAAAAGTTTCAATATATGATGGTACATTCCCTCATGTTGAAAGTGACAAAAGTTACAAAAGTTTTCATTCAGATTTTGCCCAAGGTCATGCAGCTACCTCATCAGTCTAGTATAGGCATCTGAACTCAGTACAGGGCTATTATTTCATAACATTAAATCTTACTAATAGCTTCCATTGAACCTATTTCTCAGTAATAATTTCAGAAAATTCATTTTTCAGACATCTATGGAAAATTACCTGCAAATAAGGAAAACTTAGCACAGACTATGAAATTATTAAAACATTTTAATTTGTCTAAGGGCATAAATCATAACATTAAAACAATCAAAAGAAAATTGCCTGTAATTCTAAATTTAATAGTAAAATTACATTTACCATAATAGTGTCTAACGCCATTTTATCTAGCTAAAAATACCTCAAATCAAACAACTAAGGATACTTATAACGACATTTTTTCTCTCACTATCGTAACATCTGCTTGTTTTACAATGGCAAAACCCACATTCTTTACATAATTTTATCTGTACATATGAGAGCTCAGTAGATTATTAATTCTTTTTTATTCTGACTTACTACTTAATGCCAGAGTCACATTAGCAAAAACCAATGTTCACTCTAGGCTTGATAGGAAATATTTTAAGATATAATTGATGTTAGATAATATTTTAATATCGGCATGATGCTATTAAAATGCATGTTTCAAACCAAGTAAAAATAAAATCTGATGCTTGAATACCATCATACCTATTGTCATAATATAAATTGGTAAAATATTTTAACACTTTGTAAAGGTCTGTAACAAAATCCTTTCCATCTCTGAATACCATGAATTATTTTCATGCCCATTCATTTTCATATTTAAATTGAAAGTACTTACAATTAAACTTATTGGAATTTTATTCTAAATGCTTTTTTCATCATGCAGATATTACAGCAGTAGGAAAACTGTGATTAGAATGCCTCCAATAGCTCTCTTTTGCTGTAAGTTCACACACACAAACATGCATATACACACATACTATTTTTAGTAAGACATATGCAGAAGAAAGCAAGAGTCAGAGACAGAATAAAATGTATCTAAAGGAGCCATATTCTTGTCATATTAGAGCATTAGTAAAAATTAAAATATCATCTGAGATGTGATTTTCCTGTGTCACCAAGCTTTTAAATTTCAGTGATATCAAGTGCATTATCCCAGTGATATTTTGCCATATTTGTGGGATGAGTTTTCATCCGATTGACTTTTAAGATTCATTGGAAGCAAACAACACTCCAAATTACTAAAAAACTGTCTCCATAAATATTTTTCTGTCCATACTTTATTTATATAAGCCAGTACTCTCCAGTAGAGCTATGGTTTTTCATTTATGTTCATTCTGATTGGTCTGTGTCCATTATTAAGGTTCTCTGCATCCTAGTTGTAAAATATTTTCAATATAATCCTGAATGTACAATATAAAATGGTTAAATTTAAGACTTAAATATTTATACTCTTAACCACTGAAATATTGTGAGACAATTACACAATGGTCACTGTTTTAAATACCTATTTGAAGCTAATTTCTAACCAACTCTCTTTTATATGACATAGTATACAGCTTCAAAGGAAATATTTTAGTCAATTATTTCTCCTCTGCAAAGAGACTCTACATCTAATTTGTCAAAACATGACTTTTGTTCTTTCTAGTTGTATCATCAGTATATGGAAACACTAAGGTAAAATTTGGATTAATTTTAAAATAGCTCATCTCATGAAGCAATAGTTTAAGAAAAATAATATATTTAGACATATTATTCATAGATCAGAATTGTTCTTTCAGTTCAATCTGCTGAATCTTGCCTTATCGTTTTAACCCTTGAATATAATTGTATGCTGTAAGTTTTCCTGATTATTTTCAATATGATAATGAAGTGCCTTTAATCATAACAGTCACTCAAAAATGGGCTGATAGTCAAAGTATTTGACTGACTATTCACACTCCCTAGGCACACTCCATAGGCATCTAGTGTTGTTGAAAGACCTTCTCAAAAGTAGACTGAAAACCATGTCAACTCTTTCTCCATCTCCCCCTCTTGACCTATGCTTTTGGAAAGGAAGATTGGTAATTAAATGGCTGTCCCAAGAAGGTATTTTCTCTTCTTGATTGCTTCCGGGTTAATTATGAAGGAAAAAGGGGTGAAGGATTACATGGGTATTCAGAAAATTCAAGATCCTGTCCTGACCATTTTGGGGCAAGTTAATCCTTCTTTCCCTTTATAGCAACCTCACGCCAACCTGGTTTGACATAGCTCTAGGTTTCAGCATGACCCAATAGGGACTTAGAGGATTCAAACTTAATTCTTGATCTGCAATCTCGATTATCTTATTGGGCCGACACAGTCCTAATAAAAAGGTGTCAATGACTAAATTGAGTTGATCACAAATCCTACTACTCTACTGTGTGCAATGTGGGTTAAATTGAACTGGTTTCTTTAAGTTTGGTACAATATGCTTTTAACCCTCCTGCACCTGACCCTTGCCAAATTAAAGTTCTGGGTCCAAGTGAAAGTGATTAAAAAAAAATGTTGTCTTTCCTATAATGGGAACTTGACAACTGGGAATGCAATACCAAAAAACTAGAAGAAGTATGAAGGTTGATATTTGTCTTTTTAGAAGAGTTCTGAAGCCTTTTTAAAGAAAAAAATGTAGTAGCTCTCCCCAAATGTTGCAAAAACACAAAAACCTTGAGTTTAATAAACTGCTTTTTTGTCCCTGGCCAGACAGCTTTAACCATGATTGACTGCCACTCCCCTCATCCCTAACTAAAGTTGATCAGAAATAGCTGGTGAGAACCCCAGATCCTGTTCTTCCAGCAAAAAGTACTTCTAACTACCTTTGTATATTTTCAAGGTTTCATTCCAGAAGACATCACTTAGACATTCTGTAAGGCAGAAGAATGCCATCAAGTTGGCAGCATGCACTAACAGCACAGATTGTACTGTCTGCCTTTATGCAGCTCCTTCAAAACAAGACTAGAATCATTTATTCAAGCTGAACTTTAATCCCCAAAGTCTACCAACTACCAATCCGAACCAGCTGGGAATTCATGTTGGAGGTAATGTCAACCTATGCACCCCAATTAATGTAGTTCAATACTTGGGGATCCCCAGTGATTTTAACACTGTATTTTCTGGGCTACCATGTGTATCTTTAACAATGTACTTCTATTATGGAAGGAAGACATTAACTACCTCCTAAAAATACAATGACTTGTACATTAGAGGAGTCCAAGAGACATTTTCAAGTGTTTAAGTAAACATCACCAGTAAATCATGTAAACCTCAGATGACTACAGAGATTTCTCCAACAAAAGGCTACCCTTGGTAATCCATGGGAACTTACTGGAAGAATAACTGACTCGTTATTTACATATATACCTTTGGCAACTTTTCCTATAATTGGATTCATGCAAATAAAAGAGATGTTTTAAAATTTGTCCCTGACCCTACTTGAGGTAAGCGTTGATACTACTTCAGTCATGGAGGTCATTTTGTCAACTTTAACTCACTGGCCAGGGTTGTTATGGATTATGGAATCATCTAGTTTTTAATTCTTGTGGGTCAAGTTATAGTCTTTAAAGTTGTTAATTCCCACTCTAAGGAGACTAGTGCTTGGGAGAAGTGGAAACGTCAATACGGAAACTGAGGGAGAGAGCTACCTGGATATCTAAGGTAGATTCCAGAGGTGTGCTGATTTTAATCTAAGACCTGGGGAAGCAAGGTTAAGGTCAATGCTGCAGGATGGCTTCATCCTGCTGTTTGGTGTCATGTTTATAGTCGTTTTAAACTCTGCATGAGACAAATTGAATGGTTTTGTCCCAGGCTTTGTAAGTCAACCAGAGTGGCTAACACACTGACATACTTCTGTGAATATTCACTGGAAGCCAAGATGCTCTAGAAACATTGTTGGGAGATAATATGGTTTAATTTCTTTCTTGTGAATAAGAAATATACATCCTTTTTTTCAGGACTGCTTTCCATGATGGCTTTACACCAACAGCCTTGGAAAATAGTGACATTTTATTGTAATAGAGTTAACAGTCTGCTTAGTTACAGCCATAGAAGTTAGATACTGGAGCAAAGGGCAGATGTACTTGTTGTTCATTATAAGTTATTTAAGTTTCCTAAGTCCATGTTTTCTTTAACACTATTTAGAATGTGTGCAAGTGTCATCTAGGCCCTTTTGCATCCTCCAGTGAGGACTGAAGTTCAGAGAATGAGCACAAAAATATTGATTGGCTACTACTAACATGTCCCTCATGTTTGAACCACGGGTCTAATGTCTTCAACCAATATTCATGAAGCTGTGTTAGATTAACTTGTCTGTCTCTAAGTCAGTTTAAACTTCAGAACTCTCAGTTTTTAATAGTATACAAATATCCTATAAAAATTTCTATTATTAATCAGAATGCTCTGTTATTTTTGTAATATATACTGGATTTGAATTTGCTTCTATGTCTACTATGTTTTGACCAAATCTGCTGTTAGATTCAGTAACGGCCTTATTTGCCATCTTGCTCTTCTGGAATTACTCCCCTAGCTTCTCATATAATTATGTAAATCCAAATTACTATAAGAAATCTTTTATCTCATAGTACTCATGTGAATTTGCTTTCTATCTGATACACTAATTGTACATTACCCAACATCTTCCTACTTGCTGAGTTTCCTCAGATATCAGGCTGCAGTATATTCAGAATAAAGGGTTTCCTTATCCTAGGCTTGTGAAATAACCATAACAGTACATTAACCAATGATGAGAATATCACTCCCCTTGACTATAATTGGTGTAGGTGTAGACATATGGCTATATTATTTTTGATAATGTATAAAGTTTTTGATATTATTAGGAAATATAATTTTCCATAATAAAAAAGGAAGATAGAAGAGGAAAAAGTACTATCTTTCTTCATGTTTTTCAATAAAATTCAATGAACATATAATGCATCAATCTTGTGTAGCCTTCTTGTGAAGATGAGCATATAAGCTTGAGAACAAAAACAAATACAATAGAGATGTCTAAGAAAAAGAATCAAAAATCCTAAGTCTTCATGATGTTTTTGAGCTGCCATACCAATTCTGGACTATTATCCTTCTGGGAATCTGGTTATGTACATATAAATATATATATTTATATTTAAAATAAATTGTTTAGGTCTCATTTAGTTGGTGTATTAGTTCATCCTCATACTGTTATAAGGATATACCTGAAACTGGGTAATTTATGAAGCAAAGAGATTTAATTGACTCACAGCTCAACAGGCTGTACAGGAAGCATGGCTTGGGAGGCCTCCGGAAACTTGCAATCATGGCAGAAGGCAAAGGGGAAGACAGCACATTCAACATGGCCTGAGCAGGAGGAGATGTGGGAGGTGCTACACAATTTATAACAAACATATCTCATGAGAACTCTATTATGAGAAGAGCAAGGGTGAAGTCCGCCCCCACAATTCAATCGCCTCCTGCCAGACCTTTGCTCCAACACTGGGAATTAAAATTCAACATAAGAATTTGTTGGGTACACGGAGCCAAACCATATCAGTTGGCTAGTCTGTTACTTAGAGATTAAAATGCCCTGATATGAACAATATAAAGAAATAAGATATCATTATTAATTGTGGCAATTTGTTCAACTTACATTATTTTACAGAGACCTAATTTGTCTTCCCAACATTTTACTTCTGTTTATGCAAATGAATGTTGTGTGTGTTTGTGTTTGTGTGTGTGTGTGTGTGTGTGTGTGTGGACATATACATATCATAATGAATTGTAGTGTTATATCAGCCTACCTGTTCATGTATCTCTCTATCTTCTTTGGTATAAAGCTTTACATCACTCCTGTGATACTTAAAACCTAAGAACTTTAGTTACAATTAAATCTTATTAAAAATGTGTACCATTAGCAGTTTTTTAAGTAATATATAATTCAATGTCAGCATGAATTTTATTACAATTGAGTTTTGTATTTATGTTGGGTGTAATCTAATTTTATACCATAAATAAATTTGTAAACAGTGTGTGCAACAATCACCTACATTACTATGTAACTAAAAATAGCTTGTGAAGTATGCTGTCATGGTATAGAATACATGGTCGTAATTAGTCACTATAATACAAGAGTCATAAGGTACAAATAAGTCTTAAAAGTATTCTTAAAGCTTTTGATCGATCTACTAATTACCATATGTAAATTTAATGTCATCAGTTAAAACATATTCATTTTTATTTCTAAATTTTTTATTTCCAGTTTCTGGATCATTGCATGACATCATAATTTTAGCCAATGATAAAACATTCATCCCTTATAGTAAATAAATTTTTGTTTAGATTGAATTTACTACTGCAGAATGTAAACTGCAAACTCTGTTTTGACTTCATGGCTTATTTAGTAATGTGCTTAAAAGGTTGCAGTGTTACTTCATTTTTTAGACTGCACACGCAAATGTTTATTAATAATTTTATTGTTGTAAATATAAATGTAATTCTCTGCTGCCTCACTGTGATGATTCTTGATTTTTTTACTGAGACAAATTAATTGATTAAATATTATAGAAAAGTCATTTCAGTAAAGTGCAAGCATTGCAAATATTGTATTATTCTATTTTTATATACTGTCTAAGAAAGATGAAGGTGCTGCCAAAGTGGTAGCAATTATGCAACTGAATCTGTTAAATTTTGTTTAGCAATAAACATTACTCTTCACAAATTCACCTAATAAGAGACCAGATGGTTTTCTCTGCCATTTACATAAAAACTGCTTATTTACAAATCCTTGGGAATACTTTTTTTAACTATTAAACTATTTTTGACAGCTACATGTTTACAGAAAAATTGAATAGAAAATACATAGCTCCCATATACCTGCTCAGATTATTCTCTCCTTGTATCCTCTGTTAACATCTTGCATTAATGTGGCACATTTGTTGATATAATATTGATATAAAACTATTAACTAAATTCAATATTTGAGTTTCTTCTTTGTAACATGATGTACAAGAAGTCACCAGTTTTAGGAGAACAGACTTTTAGGGGTTTAAAATAATCCATTACATTCCACATTAAAATCTTGTATGAAGGACCTTATATGGTTTCTCTCAGCTATTTTATTTTTTCTCAGTGCATCTGAACAGTCACTATAACTGAGAGAAGTAAGGCTTACAGCGTCAATATGGAGCATCATTTGTGGTACTTGTGAAGTATGATTTCAGAATTAAACACCCAAGAACATCTTGGAAATATATTTCACATGTGTTGTGATTACGCCAAATTAAGTAATCCAGCTCCTTAGCTAGTAAAGACTCAGGTTTCAGATTCTCAGCAGGGCTCCTACTGGTTGGCTCCTGCTCTCAAACCAGTCTTATAATCATGAGAAACCTGGCCAGTGCCATTTCTGTCTTCCAAGTATTGATCCCCTCTTGATTCTGTCTGCTTTTGCTCACTGCCCAGTATCTTCAGGTTGTTGTTGTTTTTTAAAAATAGTTGTTCGTTTTTTTTCAGGAAGAAAAAGAAAAAAAGGAAGAAATACAATTTACCCCCCCTTACTCGAAGTGAAACCCCATATTGATAATTCTACTAGACACTTCCATTATGACTAGTGGGTAATGTCACCTCAACCCATGAGGTGACGGTGGTGTTGCTGTTTACTGTGGAATACAGTGCTGCTTCTGCTTTACACCATATCACCCATTGGAAACTCCTATCACCCTTGCTGATATGTTTAAATCATTAAAATGATAAAATTTTGCTGTGCTGAATGCTGTAATTGATGATAATCTTTCTGTCTTCACTTATGTTAAAATCAATTAAGAGAGAATGCCAAGAAACTTCTTTTCCTCTCCAAGTTTGACCATCTTTAAATAAACAATGACCATGATTGCGTGTATTTACTGGGGGGATAAACTCATGAAAGATGAGATTCATAAAAACTCTGAATTACAGAAACCATGCTAAATTTAATATCACCATTTCCTCCAAAAACATGGGGCTTTATTATTCAGGAAAGCTTTTGTGTCAGCCCTGTTTCCTCAGAACACAATTTCTCCCAGGTACTCATTCTACAAAGGGATTCCAAGAGGACCTGGACATTTCTGAATCTCAACTGCAGACAAAGGTACTGCTGAATCCAAGGCTGTACACATACAGAATTGAATTTTAGTAATGAGCTCAATAACAAAATAGAAATAAAATTTGTTAAAAACACTAGGAGTAAATATACAAATATATTAATAGGCACTGTTCTGAATAATAATAGAAAGATTATATCATTCTTGAAATTTTTATAACTCCAATTTTTCTATAATGGTTACTAATTTTATAATCATGAAATGTTCAAAAAAAGATTTAATATATAGAAGAGAGTGAATAAGACATAAATATCATTTAAAATTTATTCAGGATCACACTATGAGTTAGAGCCAATTTAAATGGTTAAAATAGAAAAACACTTTACTAGCCCCATATCAATACCAAAGGACATGCAGAGGAGATAAAAATCTTAGTTTTTAGTGAGGTGTTTTTTAATTATTTCCTTATGATGTTAGTATATATGTATATATATCTGTATGTATGTGCATATGTGTGTATACGTATAAACTCTGTTTATTTTTCTTATATGTACTAAATCTGAGCCTGTCTTCCACATCTACTTTCTACCTTATATGAAGAATGAAAGTTCTGTGAGTTTTTTCTCCAGTACCAAGCTAAAAACATAGTCTGCCACATTTTAAATGGGGCAATCTTTGCTCATAGCACAGCAGGCAGCATGAGCTTCATCGTCACATTGGTTTTCCCCATCCCTCATGCCCCATGGGGACAATGAAAATAGTCTGGGTATGTTATTTGCACACAGTGAGTTTGTCACAGCTGAGGTAACCTCAAATTTAGGAAAGACCAATTTTTTATAATGTGGTGTGCATAAACCTACCCAATCTTTCTCCTAGACAAAGAGATTATCTTTATTAAACTGGTGAGCAAACAAACCTGCCTTTTGTCCAGAGGGAAGCCCTGTCTCTCTATCTTCCGAGGCTGTTTGTGACCTAAACATCCTCAAAAGGCAGCCCGGTTTCAAAACCCACCATGATCTCTGTCCCTAGTACATGTAGAACTATGAATGACCCGTGGACAAGTATTTCCTGATACCCTTTTGAGAATCAGGGAAGTAAATCGAGAAATCGTATTTTAGAATTTACCAGTACAAATAGTCTCCTGTGGATGATTTCCTCTTAGTTGGGTAAATGTTCAATATTTTAGATTTTCTGTGTGTCAAGCTACTTCTCTGTGCATTGGATTCTCTTTACATAGGGGTTGTGAGGGGATTAAATAATATCAATGGGTTAGGGTTCTTCTGATTTCCTTCACAATATCACTTTGAAGTTTAATCACCAGTGCCTTGCTATCAACTGGTACAGAAATCTGTGACCAGTAAATTTTTTTCTTATTCTCTTACCTTGAATAAGGCTCCTACTGGATTGATTGGACCTTTGTCCCCTCCAATACTGGGGATAACCCTAGATGTCAAGTTGTTTTCCAAGTTCACCTATGACTCATGCAGTGGTCCAGCAACTCTATCTGCAACATTATTTTGTTCCTGCTTTGAAAGTCCCTTTAGCCTAAATATTTGATTACCTCCTGAATTCTCACAAAGATTTCTGAGTCCCTTTCATGAAACTGAAGAATTGGGGAAAGGGTTAAAAGTGCTAACTGGGCCTCTTTTACTGCAACACTGAGATACCAGTTTTATTCTGTTGAATGTGCTAATTGTAACACGGAATCTATGTTGCCCAGTTGTTTCACTGTTGCTCTTCAAATCCACTAAATTTCCAGATGGTAACCATAAGCCTTTCCTTTCATCCCATTCCTTTCTCATATTCTCCCTAGGACAGAAGAGGTAGATTTTTCCATTTCTCCATTCCTGTACCTAAACACTTTTTACTTTCTATTTTCATCATTTCTAGAAAATGTAGCCTGATTGCCTTCTTACTATAGTTGAAACATCTACTGTATTCTGGGGTAGAGGGGAACTTGCTTTTAATCATTGAGACTTGGCTCTTAAATGGGAATTACAGGAAAGGTATAAAATAGGCAAGAATATGTAACATTAACATTCTTAAAATATTATCTCTCCTACCCAGTATTTAGTGTTATGATGAAAACCATGCCCCAGATGGCTAAGATTTGAGAGGCAATAATGAATATGTAAATTGGAACAAAATGACTATTGAGTCTTACATAAAGAGGATTGATTGCAAGAGATAAACAAAACGAAACACAAAAAAGCTACTTTTTTGGACAATGCATATTTTATTAACTCCAAGATCTATGAAATCAGGATGAGTTTACCTGAAGGTTAAAATATTTAAGGTAAAGAAAGTGAGAAAAGAATGATTGGTGATCATATGAATATTGAGATAAGAGACATATATTTAAATTTGCATAATTTTATGTTTGTTTATAAGGAAGAAGATATAATCAAATGTATGTCCTTTGTATTTATTACAATATACGATGCATAAATGATATATATGAAATAATGTTAATCAAAATACTCTTATTATTTTTCTTAAGTGTTATAACTTATTCATTCAAAAATGATTTATTGAATACTACATGAAATTTAAAGATCAAAAAATAGTAAAAATATAGTTACATCAATAAGGAAAGGAAAATTTGGTTAAACTGGAAAAAGATATTAGATTGACTTCAAATTTCAGGCAAATTCCATGGCACCTGGCTCTACACAAACCTACTCCCACCTTTCATCTTTTACCACAAGCTAACAGTACAGACTTCCCACAGATTGTAAAGCTCATTCCCCGTAGTCAATGGAGTAATACTACTCTGAAGAGAATGCACCTTTGAATAATAGTACAGTTTCTTTTGAATAGTTACCAAACTAACTTTAGTGGATTTTTTTTTCTCTTAAAAATCTGTTGACACAAAGAAAAGTAATTTTCAGCTGGTTCTGTGAAGAGAAAAATGATCTTCGTGAAACATTTATTTTCAATTGGAAGCCATAAAGTATCCATTTGTTTTATTGTGCTATAGGACTAATACAACATGAAGTTTCATAACAGATAAAGATAGATGAGTGAAGTTACAAGCCCACTAAAAAAGTTATGCTGACAGATTGATACAAAAGCATCATATATTCTGGTTGACAAATGGGTCCTGTAACAGTATTTTTTATAAAGTAGGCTTGATTTCTCATCTACCCATTTTCCAAATGAGATTGTAAAAGGTCATACTCAATCTTCATGGATAAGTGGTATGTATAAAGAGTGCACTAGCAGCAAAATTATACGGGAAGTGCTGTGTTTATTCTACATATAGTTTTATGTGTTTGCCATTGATTGTTAGGTAAATGCAAGTTACTCTACAATCTCCCCATCCATCTGTTTCCTTAGAGGAAATAAGGACATATGCAAATGTATTTATATTTACATTTTCTTCAAGAGTGAGAAATTTAGTTTCAGTAAATATGAACTGTCAGTCAACTTTTGGAACAGAAACTGGGTTATGAATAGAAATAGAAGATAAGGCAGAAGGCTAAGCAAGAGAAAAAAAATATTTTTCTACTTGAGTTTAGGAAAACACAGCAAAGAATAAGAATTAAGGTCCATGTAGAAAACATATTAATATATTTGTACTATTCAGTAGAAAAATATATAAAACATCCAGACCTATTGAATAAATAGGAAGGTTAGAAAATGAGCAATTAGTTTACAATGTATAATGATAGATGTAGTAATAGACCACACTAACTGAGAATGTATGGCAGGTATTTAATACTATCTGAGAAATCAAGAAAACCTTCTCAGAGCTGGAGATAAAAGTTAGATCCAGGGATAGTAATAAATATAGACCAAGGGAACAGTTACAGGGAAGTGTGATACATTCTCTATTGTAGCAACATTCTCAAGGATCTAGGTGCATGTTGCCGTGATACGATAGTGAAATTTCAAATACTTACATAGGCTGTAGGTTACAATGCAATAGGAAGAAAAATATTGACAGGAAATATGAGAATAAAAATAGGTGGAAACTTGGGAAATTTCTCTTTTGTAGGTATAAAAATGGTTGAATTTGGAACTTTTATATAGTTCAACTTAGTAACTATTAAGATGCAAAGCCTGAACGCAGATCATACAGAAAACTACCTACCAAGTTGAGAAATTTGGACTTTATCCAGGCTCTACCATTTATAAACTAAGCAATCTTTGAAATTTACTTCATTTCCATGTGAGTCTGTTTTCTTTTTTCAACATGGTGTTGTCAATAAGGTCTCACAGGGTGATGTCAGTAAGGCCATCGTGTGGGTCTAATATGCATAAGTACAGTGAAGGATAATGTCTGCTATACAGTAAATGTTTAAACAAATCTCAGTAAAGAAAGCTCATGTGTTTTCATCATAATTACCTAATTTATGTAAAATGATGTTTGGGGTGATAAGGATGTTCGTGGAGTGGGCACTGAAGTTATCAGAGCAAGATAAAATGAGATGGACTTTCACATTAGAGGATGTTTCTCAATGGGATGTGAAAAAAATGGGAGAGTGAACAGAGAATCAGCAGAGTTTTGGAGATTGAATGACCCAATTAGGGGTATCACAGTCTGAATATGATGAAGATGACATCTTCACAAAGGAAGAGTAACTGGCAGCAGCAATGAGAGATTAGATACATGCATGGTAAATGATCAAATAAGGAAATATAATAAGGATATTAGGCACCGAGTTTCTCACTATTTGAGAAACATGCATTATAAAGATGAAAAGAGAGAGCTGGAATGAATCCTGTCATTGGTATTAGGTTGTAGTTATCATTGTGACTTCATGATTTTCAATATTTAGATATATACAGGTAAATACAAATGTAAATGAGTGTGCATGTGTGTGTGCATTCTCATGTTCTTTCCATGTAGAGAGTCTGGGAGCAGCAACAACCCAATAACAATGAGCACGCAGAGCGACCAAATCATGGATTTTTACGTCCTATGACCAACTAGAAAAATTAGGTTTCCTTCAAGAAATTGCTGATTCCAGGACTGGGACAGGAAAGTATCATATGAGCCTGGAACATATTCTTGAGGAGAATTTAATGAAGTGCTCCAAGAATGATAAACAATAGATGTATGAATTTAAAAAATGTGATACACACACACACAATGGAATACTAATCAGCCATCAAAAAGGATGAAATTGTGTCATTTGCGACAACATGGATGAACTTAGGAGACATTGTGTTATTGAAATAAACCAAAAAAAGAAGGACAAGTACCACATGATCTCCCTCATATGTGGAATCTAAAATAGTTTTTCTCATAGAAGTAGAGAGTAGAATAGTGGTTACCAGAGGCTCAGGAGAGTAGGCAAAAGGGGAATGAGAAGAGATTGATCAATGGATACAAAATTAGAGTTAGATCTGAAGAATAGGTACTGGTGCTCTATTGCACACTAGGGCAACTATAGTTAACAATAATGTAACGTATATATCGAAATAGCTAGAAGAGAAGGTTCTGGATGTTTCTACCACGAAATGTTAAAAGTGTTATAAATAAGTGTTCGAGCAGATGAATATGCCAATTATACTGATTTGATTACACAATATATACATGTATTGATATATCACATGATACCCCACAGACATGTCAAAGTTGTCATAGAAGGCAGCATAAAGGGAATCTTATTGGCAAAATGTGAACAATATTATATAAATGGAAATAATTATTGTAATGGTTTATACCCCATGGAATAAAATACCAAAATATAAATACAAAATAATATATTCAAATGAATGAACACATTGAAATTTTAACCAGAAATAAGATATTATCATCAAAATTTCTCCCACAAGCTGTTGACAATATGCCTGGGAATTACAAAAGGCAAAAGGTATTCACCCATAGAGGTAAAGCCTGGAAGATACCACCTCATCAAATGATCAAAGTAAGCATCATTATTTATAGGGCAAATTTATATCATGTCTCACTCAATGAGAACATGGCATTAGTTTTGTGACATTCTGCCCAGTGATACAACACATAAATCTACTGTAAGGAAACATCAGACAAATTCAAACTGAGGGATCTTCTGCAAAATAAACGGGCCTGCATTCTTTAAAAAATGTCAACGTTTACAGAATTCAGAGGAACCCTTTACATATCAAAAGAAACTAAAGGAATATGACAATGAAATACAACATATAATTTCGAACTGAATATTTTTGCAGAGGTTATGTAGAAAACCATGCTTGTTTGTAGAAAACACCTATTAATGTACCTCGGGGTGATGGTGCTGGGTCAACAGGTATAAAAATTATTTATGTGGCTCAAGAAGAGAACAATATTTTTGTACTGCAATATTTTTGTACTTGCAACTTTTCAATAAGCATGAAATTGGTTCTAAGTTTTAAAAACATATATTAGGCCGGGCGCGGTGGCTCACGCCTGTAATCCCAGCACTTTGGGAGGCCGAGGCGGGTGGATCATGAGGTCAGGAGATCGAGACCATCCTGGCTAACAAGGTGAAACCCCGTCTCTACTAAAAATACAAAAAATTAGCCGGGCGCGGTGGCGGGCGCCTGTAGTCCCAGCTACTCGGGAGGCTGAGGCAGGAGAATGGCGTGAACCCGGGAGGCGGAGCTTGCAGTGAGCCGAGATTGCGCCACTGCAGTCCGCAGTCCGGCCTGGGCGACAGAGCGAGACTCCGTCTCAAAAAAAAAAAAAAAAAAAAAACAAAACCATATATTAAAATTTAGTTAGAATGAGGGATACGAGGAGTCAATAAGGGTTGTAAGCAAGGCCATGGCATGATCAGTTTTGCTATTTAAAGCAAAAAATGCTCTAGCTACACTGTGATTCATGGAATAAAGGAGATACGAGTCAAGGCAGAGAGATATGGCAGGACTTTGTTCTTCAACCTGTATTTGAGAAGATGGCCATCAAATAAAAGCAAAGAACACAAAAATATATACTTGGTATTGTATTCAAAAATACATAAGGCATAATAAAGAAAACTTGGCGAGGGGTATCAGGGAGAAAAAGCAATCAAGAATTATCTATGAAATCCTTCCTGGGAAATTGCCTTGAAGGAAGTGCCATTTGTTGATATAAATAACACTGGAGAATATGCAATTAAGTGGATTTGAAATATGAGATAAAACTTCAGATGGGACATAGATACATGGTTTGCATTTCATATCTATAATTTCCCTACCATAGCAGTTGATCTCCTACTAAAGTAGATTCATATTTTGCATATGAAAATGTCAAAATTCATAACTTGCCATAGATTTCTAGGTCAGGAACACTCGGGAACCTACTTTGCGCATGACATCTTAATGTGTGGAACCAATGAACATTCCACAGTCATTAGAAGAGAGAAAACTGGTTGGAGAATTAAGGCATCCAGGAACATAATAGTTTTGGCTACATCAAATTCAAACAAATATTGGTTAAGTAAATATCATACTGCAAATGCTGATTTATTTCAGCAAAACAAAAGTATCCACTACATTTAATTGACACTGTAAATATAAATGCTATATCCTGGCCTACAAAGGAAAGAAAGAAAAATGTTATAAAGTGGTTATATTCAAGGTATAAATTTATTGGTAATTTTAAATTATATTGAGGTAAAAGCAATATTAGAAATAACTGGAGATCAATTAATTGGTCTGTCTACCAAAACACTCACTTGATCACAGTGACTAGAACACAAGAGCAAGGTCATGTTTCACGAACAAAATCTTGCCTTAAGAAACTCACATTAAATAAAATTAAATACCATTTTAAAAAATAAACATTAACATTTGGCTATTATTGGTGTACAGGAATGCTTGTGATTTTTGCACATTGATTTTGTATCCTGAGACTTTGTTGAAGTTGCTTATCAGTTTAAGGAGATTTGGGGCTGAGACGATGGGGTTTTCTAAATTTACAATCATGTCATCTACAAACAGAGACAATTTGACTTCCTCTCTTCCTATTTGAATACCCTTTATTTCTTTCTCTTGCCTGATTGCCCTGGCCAGAACTTACAATACTGTGTTGAATAGGAGTGGTGAGAGAGGACATCCTTGTCTTGTGCTGGTTTTCAAAGGCAATGCTTCCAGCTTTTGCCCATTCAGTATGATATTGGGTGTGGGTTTGTCATAAATAGCTCTTATTATTTTGAAATATGTTCCATCAGTACCTAATTTAGAGTTTTTAGCATGAAGGGGTGTTGAATTTTATTGAAGGCCTTTTCTGCATCAATTGAGATAATCATGTTGTTTTTGTCATTGGTTCTGTTTATGTGACGGATTATGTTTATTGATTTGTGTATTTTGAATCATCCCAGGGATGCAGCCAACTTGATCGTGGTGCATAAGCTTTTTGATGTGCTGCTGGATTTGGTTTGCCAATATTTTATTGAGGATTTTCACATCGATGTTCATTAGGGATATTGGCCTGAGATTTTCCTTTTTTGTTGTGTTTCTGCCAGGTTTTGGCATCAGGATGATGCTGGCCTCATAAAATGAGTTAGGGAGGAGTCCCTCTTTTTCTATTGTTTGGAATAGTTTCAGAAGGAATGGCACCAGATCCTCTTTGTACCTCTGGTAGAATTCGGCCATCACTGGTCATTAGAGAATGCAAATCAAAACGACAATGAGATACTATCTCACATCAATTAGAATGGTGATCATTAAAAAGTTAGGAAACAACAGATACTGGAGCGGATATGGAGAAATAGGAATGCTTTTACACTGTTGGTGGGAGTGTAAATTAGTTCAACAATTCTGGAAGACAATGTGGGGACTCCTCAAGGATCTAGAATCAGAAATGCCCTTTGATCCAGCAATCCTGTTACTGGGTATATACCCAAAGGATTGGAAATCATTCTACTATGAAGACACATGCACACGTAAGTTTATTGCAGCACTATTCACAATAGCAAAGACTTGGAACCAACCCAAATGTCCATTAATAATAGACTAGATAAAGAAAATGTACATAAACATCATGGAATACTATGAAGCCATAAAAAAGGATGAGTTCAAGTCCTTTGCAGGGACATGGAGGAAGCTGGAAACCATCATTCTTAGCAAACTAACACAAGAACAGAAAACCAACACCGCATGTTTCCACTCATAAGTGGGAGTTGAACAATGAGAACACATGGACACAGGGAGGGGAACATCACACACCAGGGCCTGTCGGTGGGTTGGGGGGTAGGGGAGGGATAGCATTAGGAGAAATACCTAATGTAGATGACTGGTTGATGGATGCAGCAAACCACCATGGCACGTGTATACCTATGTAACAATCCTGCACGTTCTGCACATGTATCTCAGAACTTAAATTATAATAATAAGAAGAAGAAAAGAAAGTTAAAGTTTATTTCCATCACCAGGTAATAGTACTATACATTGTAATTATAAACTAACCTTTATAACCTTAAATGACAATGTAATTCATTCTAAAATCTAAAGATAAGATAAAAAGACCTTTGTTGGGTTGTTTTTACAACCAAATTTTGCACTTAAGGACGACAATTCAAAAAAAAATTAGATCATTGCTATCAGTCATACTATTCAAGTTGAGGAACGTGATTATATTCCATGTTAGACAAATTTCATTGGAAGGAAGATGAGCAGAAAGATGAAAGTTTGGAAACCACATAATAGAGAAACCTGACACATTTCAAAATGAAAAGGTGATTTTGCTTTTTCCAAATACTGTGTGGGCTACTGCACCTTAAAAACAGCTTAATTATGAAACTGAGAGGGATAATTAGGAGTTATTAGGAGAAAAAAGGTAAAGAACTTTTTAGGAAACTAAATTTTTAGTGAAGTTGTGTATATCCCAGCACGTGGTTCATACACAACTTTGAAGCCTCCACTCAGGCTTCACTGGAGAAGTTTCTATACAAAGAACTAACCTGAGCTAAAAGTTCTTAAGGACTTCTACAGTTGTACACATTAAATTTCTCTATTGGGAAGTATGGCTGTAGTTCTAATAAGGAGAGAAATTGAAGTACAGAAAAGTTAAATGATTGGCAAAGTATCATAATGCTGATGAGTGAATTGAAGCTTGAGCCCTTGTCTTAATGAAGGTTGGTTCTATATTTTAACTCTGCAAAGATTCTTAATTATTGATATCAAACATTAACTCTGCTGAATATCATCAGCATCTAAACCTTAGGAAACTTAATTTTATAGCTTCTTTGAATTAATATTTTTAAAGCATGTTTGTTAGGCATGTCACTGCTTGCCATGAAAACAACTCTTTCCCAACTCAATGGCTTCATGTATATTTTATGCATTTGATCATTGTTTTGTAATTCTTAACTCTGATTTTTTATGTCTCTGCCCTGCCTTTACTTTTGTACTATGCTTTTCCATTTGCTATGACCATCTCACATTTTATTTCACTTGGAAAACTGTCTGTAATAGTACTTGTGTACTTTTTCTATTCATTAATGTATAATTACATTCATCTTACTTTAAATAATTTTTAAAAGCAACCTAAATATACAATAATATAGGAAGAGTTACTTCAAGCTAAATGAATGTTATGCATTTATCAAAACAATAAGTAGTAAAGTAATGAATAATGGAAGCAAAATATATTAATAAATATTTGTGTTTTAGCCATGATTACACTACGTAAATTAAAATAGTAGATTGATTTTTGTCAACTCCTCCTCATCCCCATATCCATTTTCTCCTAAAGGAAAGCCTGAACTCGGGCCGGTCATGGTGGTTCATGCCTGTAATCCCAGCACTTTGGGGGGCCAAGGTGGGCAAATCAGGAGGTCAGGAGTTCAAGACCAGCCTGCCCAACATGGTGAAACCCCGTCTCTACTAAAAATACAAAAATTAGCTGGGCATGGTGGTGCATGCCTGTAATCCCAGCTTCTTAGGAGGCTGAGGCAGGAGAATCACTCGAATCCAGGAGGTGGAGTTTGCAGTGGGCTGAAATCACACCACTGCACTCCAGCCTGGGCAACAGAGTGAGACTCCGTCTCAAAAAAAAAAAAAAAAAAAAAAAGAAGAAAAAAAAAGAAAAGCCTAAACTCCTTTCCCAGAAGAGTAGGAAAAGCCACTGTGCTCTTGGCAGTTATAAACAGTCAACTGAGATCATTGGCAGTTGTTTCTTCTGGCTCTCGAAGTCCTTTGGTGTATTATACGCTGCATTGATACGGGTAACTGGGATCACCTGTGGTAGCTTCCAGGCTGAGTTGCTAGATTTCACAAATAAAAATACAAGATGCACTGTAACAATTAGTAAGCCTTCCAATCTGGGTACATGAAATGTCTTTTCATTTGTCTGTATATTCTTTAATTTCTTTCATTTATGTTTCAGTGTATGTCTATTGCATCTTGGTTAAATTTATACCTGAATCTTTGTGTCATTTTTCCATGTCATTGTAAATGGGCGTACTTTCCTAATTTCCTTAGCAATCTACATATTTAATATAATCGCTATCAAACTTTCAATGACTTTTTTTTACACAAATAGAAAAAAGTTATTAAATTCATGTGGAATCACAAAAGAAGTTGATATGGTTTGGCTGTGTCCCCATCCGAATCTCGAAATGAAGCCTTCATAATTCCCACATGTTGTGGAAGGGCCCTGGTGGAAGGTAATTGAATCATGAGAGCACGTCTTTCCCATGCTGTTCTCCCGATAGTGAATAAGTCTCATGAGATGTGATGGTTTTACAAAGGAGAGTTCCCCTGAATATGCTCTCTCTCTTGCCTGCCACCATGTAAGACAGAACTTTGCTCCTCCTTTGCCTTCTGCCATGACTGTGAGGCCTCTACAGCCACATGGAATTGTGAATCCACTTAACCTCTTTTTCTTTATAAATTACCCAGTCTTGGGTATGTCTTTATTAACAGCATAAGAACAGACTAATATAGTAAATTGTTACTGGTAGAGTAGAGTGCTGCTGTAAAGATACCCGAAAATATTGAAGCGACTTTAGAACTGTGTAACAGGCAAAGACTGAAACCATTTGGAGGGCTCAGAAGAAGACAAGAAAATGTGGGAAAGTTTGGAACTTCCCAGGGACTTGGAGGGCTCAGAAGATAGGAAGACGTGGGAAAGTTTGGAACTTCCTTGAATAGCTTTGACCAAAATGTTGATGGTGATATGGGCAATAAGGTCGAGGCTGAGGTGGTCTCAGAGATGAGGAACATGTTGGGAACTGGAGTAAGGATAATTCTTGCTATACAAAGAGATTGGTGGCTTTTCATCCCTGCCCTAAAGATCCATGAAACATTGAACTTGAAAGAGATGATTTAGCGTATCTGGTAGAAGAAATTTCTAAGCAGCAAAGTGTTCAAGAGGAAGCAGAGAATAAAAGTTTGGAAAATTCGCAGTCTGATGATGCAACAGAAAAAGAAAATTCATTTTCTGGGGAGAAATTCAAGCCTCCTGCAGAAATTTGCATAAGTAAGGAGGAGCCCAATGTTAATCACCAAGACAATGGGGAAAATGTCTCCAGAGCATGTCAGAGGCCTTCACACCAGCCCCTCTCATCTCAGGCCCAGGGGCCAAGGAGTAAGAAATGGTTTCCCGGACCGGCCCACAGTCCCCCTGATGTGTGCAGCTTAGGAACTTTGTGCCCTGCATCCCAGCTTATCCATCTGTGGCTAAAACGGGCCAAGGTACAGCTAGGTCATGGCTCCAGAGGGTGCAAGCCCCAAGCCTTGGCTGCTTACCTGTAGTGTTAAGCCTGCAGGTGCACAGAAGTCAAAAACTGAGGTTTGGGAACCTCCACCTACATTTCAGAGGATGTATAGGAATACCTGGATGTCAAAGTAGAAGTTTACTGCAGGGGCGGGACTTTGATGGAGAACCTTTGCTGGGGTAGCCCAGAAGGAAAATGTAGGGCGGGAGCCCCCACAGGGAGTCCCCAATGGGGCACTGCCTAGTGGAGCTGTGAGAAGGGGGCCACCATCCTCCAAACCCCAGAATTGTAGATCTGACAGCTTACACTGTGCACCTAGAAAAGCTGCAGACACTCATTGCCAGCCCATGAAAGCAGCAGGCAAGAGCCACGGGGTGGAGCTGCCCACAGCCGTGGGAGCCCACCTCTTGCATCAGCATGACCTAGATGTGAGACACAGAGTCAGAAAAGATCATTTTGGAACTTTAAGGTTTAATGACGGCCCTATTGGATTTTATACTTGCCTGGGGCCTGTAGCCCTTTTGTTTTGGACAATTTATTCCATTTGTAACGGGTGTATTTACCCAATCCTTGTACCCCATTGTATCTAGGAAGTAATTAACTTGCTTTTGAGTTTACAGGCTCATAGGCAGAAGGGACTTGCCTGGTCTCAGATAAGACTTTGGACTGTGGACTTTTGAGTTAATGCTGAAATGAGTTAAGACTTCGGGGACTGTTGGGAAGACATGATTGGTTTTGAAATGTGAAGACATGAAATTTGGCAGGGGCCAGGGGTGAAATGATACGGTTTGTCTCTGTCCCTGCCGAAGTCTCAAATTGGAGTTCCCATAATTCCCACTTGTTGTGGGCAGGACCCAGTGGGAAGTAACTGAATCATGAGAGTGGGTCCTTCCTTTGCTAATCTCATGAAATAAGTCTCATGATATCTGATGATTTTATAATGAGGAGTTCCCCTGTGCATGCAGTCTCTCTTGCCTGCCACCATGTAAGACATGACTTTGCTCCTCCTTTGTCTTCCACCATGATTGTAAGGCCCCCTCGGTCACATGGAACTGTGAGTCCATTTAAGCTCTTTTTATTTATAAATCACCCAATCTCAGGTATGTCTTTATTAGCAGCATGAGAACGGACTAATATGGATGTTGAATATGCAAAGTAACTCTGAGAAGGAAGAACAAATCACACTTTGTAATTTCAAAATATATTACAAAGCTACAGTAATTAAAACAGTATGATACTGAACGAAAAGCAGACATATAGACCACTGAAAGAGAATAGAATCCAGAAATAAATCCACGCATATAGTTTATCTGATCTTCAACATGTTTGCCAAGAATACACAATAGCTCCTTTTCCCAGCAAGTTGTGTTAGAGAAACTGGATATTTATGCAAAAGCATGAAACTGGACCCTTATTTTACCCCATGCAAAAATTCAAACAAAATGTATTCAAGACTTGAACATAAGACCCAAAACTGTAAAACTGCTAGAACACATAGGAAAAAGTTTCATGGCATTGGTCTAGGCAGTGAATTCACTTGATACAACACCAAAAGCATAGCCAAGAAAGCAAAAATAGACAAATCAGATTACGTTAAACTAAAAAACTTATACAGCAAAGGAAGCAATCAATGGGGTGAAAAAACAATCTATGAAAATCTATGAATTGTGAGAACATATTTGCAAATTATATATCAAATTGGGGTTAATTTCCAAATGTATAAGAAAACCCTACAACTGAATAGCAAAAAAACTAACAATCCAATTGAAAAATGTGCAAAGGGATTAAAAAGACATTTCCCCAAAGACTTACAGATGGCAAACAGTTACACGAAAAGACATCCAATAAGTCACAAATCATCAAGGAAATGAAAAGCAAAACTACAGTTAAATATCACTCCACAGCTACTGGAGTGGCTGCTATGAAAAAGACAAAAACAAGTGTTGGTGAAGATTTGGAGAAATCGAAACTCTTGTAAACTGTTAGTAGGAGTGCAACATGGCACAGCCGCTGTGGATAACAGTATGGAGGTTTCTCAAAAAGTTAAAAATAGAACAACCATATGATTCAGCAATTCTACTTCAGAATGTATCCAAAGGAATTGAAATCTGTATCTCAAAGAAATATTAGCATTCCCATGTTCATTGCAGTACTATTCACAATAGCCAAGATAAGGATACAACCTAAATGTTCACTGAGGAATGAACGGATTAAGAAAATGTGGTATGTACATACCATAAAATATTATTCAGGTTTTCAAAAAAAGGAAAGAAGTCCTGCAATATGTGACAGCATGGAAGAAACTTGAGAATATTATGATAAGTGAAATAAGCCAATCACAAAAAGACACTGCTTGATACCACTTATATTAAGTATCTAAATTGTCAAACTCACAGAAGTGGAAAGTAGAATGGTGGTCGCCGGGGCAATGGCCACTGGGAAATAGCGAGTTGCTAATCAATTAATATAAAGAACGAGTAATGCAAGATGAACACCTTCTAGAGATCTGCTGTACAACATTATGCCTCTGTTTAATAATATTGTATTGTACACTTAAAAATCTTTTTAGAGGGTACATCTCATGTTGTCTTCTTACCAAAATTAAACAAAAAAAAAAAAACTGATGTTCAGTTAAATCAGAATTTCAAATAAACAATGAGCATTTTTAGCATGGGTATATTTCATGCAATAAATGGGACATACTTAATCTAAGAAACAATGTTGTTTCTTTGGAATTCACATTTAATTGAGCATCTTGTGCTATATCTTGCAACCCTACCTCCATGGACTCTGGTTGTTCTGAAAATGATCAATTTTTGCTCTAAGAGGCAGCTAAGATGGTTGTCAGCAGCTTCCCTGAATCCCTGGGTCTCTGCATCCACATTTCCTGACAGCAGTTTTTCTGACCTTCTTTTCTTCAGCTTTTTTAACTGTCCTGTAGCTCTATATGTATAATAAACTGATAGGCTTATTTATTTTCTAAAAATTTCAATACTTTCTACTTCTAAACAAAACCCAGATAGATAATAATACTCCTCTGAAATTATAACTATATTCACTATATATACACACATACATAAACTTATATATGACATAAATTCTTAAACTTAGGTGCTGCTTATGGGTCATTTATTTTTCAAAGTTGACTTTATTTTTATGTTGTTTGTTGCTAAAATACACCAAAATATCCTTAAATACGGGGTTTGGGGGTGATGGCAGTGGCTGCTGCCAACATGCTGGCTGCAGCAGGGAGGCAAGGCTGGGGCTGCACACTCCATAGAGCCAGTGGGAGCACTACCCCTTCTGAGTTGGGACAGGAGCTCCCTGTGCTTCTGCAGTCACCCACTCAGCAGCTGTAGACCCAGGCCTACGGAGCAAACAGGAGCCCGGCCTCCTGGGTGGGACTGCAGCAGCCCAAACTGCAGCTGTGGATCCCAGCCTCCCTGTGCTCTTGGGGGAGCCGGAAACAGGCAGGATCTGCCCTTTCGGGTGCATCCGCAGCCATGGGACCTACAGCTGCAGACCTAGGCCTCCCGTTCCACGAAACAGGCAGGAAGCAGGGACAAGCAGGAGACCTGCCTCTTCGAGTTGGCAGGGTGGGAGCTCCCAGGTGCAGTTGCAGCTGCCCTCCCAGGTGCAGGACCCAGGCGTCTCTGAAGCCTGCACCATTGTGGGCTCCAGGAAGGACGCCCCACCATCCTTGCAGCCTCGGTGGTAGCGGCCTGGCCTCTCTCCACTCCCAGCACCTGCTCTGATCTCAGAGTGGGAGTTGAGGCCATGAATGGCAGCGGGAGGCAGATTGATCCCTGGGCAGAAAGGGGTGGATCCCCAGTAAGGTCCTACCTTCAGGCCAGGGAGGACCTGAAGACTCGGGGCCTGACTGCCAGTCCCCCAGACTGGAATGGGGATTCCCGGTGCCTCTTCCGGGTGCCCATGGCCATCCATGGGCCAATCAGCACACACTTCCTCCCCTCTGAGGTCAACAAAAGCCCTGGGCTCAGCCAGAGCAGGACAGAGGACGGCCAGAGGACGAGGAGGGCAGAGAGTACCCTCTCTGCTGATAGCTGGAGACAATGGGACGACCAGATGCAGACAGGCGTAACCTTTCTGCTGAGAGCTGGAGATCACCTGCTGGCAGAGGGACTACCCACTCCTCTGAGCAGTTCTAACACTATATAAAACTCTTCTTCACCCTTCACTTGTCTGCATACCTCATTCTTCCTGGATGCAGGACAAGAACTCAGGCAAAGACGCCATGGCCACAGAGATTTCTGGCCAGAAATCAGCCAGAAAAATCGATACCCCAGAGATCCCGTAACAGATGGTAGATTAAAATCTTGTGTTCTTTATTGATCCTCCGCTCTGTAGAACAAAATTTTATTTGTTGATTTAGATAGTTTGCAAGGTCTCATCTTTCCTTTGTTTCTCTGCTTCAGTTCTCCCATTATATTGCGAGTGCTAGATATGAAATCATATTATATAAACAAACAATAATAGGACAAAAGGTCTTCACAGAACATAGTTTTATGGTTTTATAGATCTTCTACTAAGAGTTAAACTCCATCATGGAAGAATTCCCAGGAAATAAATAAACTTGTTAGTTTGATTAAAATGAATGGATCCCAATATCAAATGTAATTATTGGTTGATGTATAAAAAAGGAGATGATCTCTACAAAGCTAATGCCTAGTGGAATTACTTTCTTCCTCCAAACGTGACAAGGCTTTTCTTTTAAAAAAAAAAATAAAACACAATATGTGGCTTGTACATTGCTGTTAAATCTATATAGGCACAATAATCCAAATACTTGAAGAAACACTTTGTTCAAGCAATTGACAGCTCTGGATATAATCTTTTAAAGTAGTATGTGAGTTATAATATACATAGTGTAATGCATATGTTTTGGAATCTAACATTATCAGATGCCATTCTGTAATTTCTTGGTTCTATCATTTCATAGCAAAGTGACCTTGAGCATTTCTGAACCTCATTTTTTTGTATCTGATCTTTCTCTATAAGATATAAAATACTTCCCATTACTTTTAATGGCAAAAAAGCAATTACTTTTGCACCAACCTAATATTATGATAGTATCTATATCTCAATGTTGTTATGAGTTTCAAATCAAATTATAAATATATTTATGTATAAACATATATGGATATATTTAGTTTCTAAAGCATAGGGTTGTTTTACTTTTTTTATATAACTGATATTTGCACTAGCAGTTTGACGTATATATTATTACCATTGTCAGTTACTGGTGAGAAAACCTATTAATCAAACTACAATTTGTACCATAAATGATAACTGATTGATGAAACCTGGCAGTCACACTCAGCATTCATCTTTCTTCAGAAAAGATTGCTTTCTCTTTGAATGATCTGTTCACTTCACTGGCTCCCACATTAGTCTACATTCAAAAGTTCTTCAAAGTGGTTAAAAAAAAAACCAAGATACCTCCATTGTTGTCTTGAAATAAGATAATAATGTTACTAAGAATTAAAGAGAAATTTTCTCTTAATCAGGCTAATCACAATGAAATCAATATGCTATCATTTTTCTGCATTTACCCTTCTTTATAATCATGTAACATTTTATTAGTAATGTTTCTGTTACATAGTCTGCTGTCATTATCTAACACCCTCTTCGTATTTTTTCTATGTCTTCTAGGAAGTCAGTGATGAAGGAGAAAGAGCACAGGCATGTAAATGAACATAATTTCATACCCCAGCTGTAATAATGATGTGTGATTTCAGGTAAACCACTTGACCTCCCATAAGTTCAGTTTTCTTCTTTATAGAATATGGATTCTAACAATAAGTAACTTGAAGGGGTGCATTGGAGGTGAGATGCCCATGCCTTCACATGCCTTATCAAATTGAGCCCTCCCACAACTCAGGCTTGTCTGCATTTAGATGGTTTCCAATTTTAAAAATTAAATTATACTTTATAGACAATAATCACAAAGGATTGCTAAGTTCATACAAATATACATTTTCCCCAGACATTGTGCGAATCCTCATGAAAATATATAACATGGCTTATGTAGTAATGTCGAAAAAAATGAGCATAAAGCTTCCTATAGAAGGAACCACCGATTTACTTCAATGCCTAAGGCAAAGGAACAAGTTAAATGATATCCCAGGTGTGTATTTATCACAATCTACAAGGTAAGAAATTCTACAGTATGAAAAACCAAATTTCTTCAGCAAACATGACAAATAAGCAACAAAAGAACATGACAGAAAAAAAAAAAGATGGAGAGTATATTACTGTGCTAGGGCTGCTATGACAATGTACAATGGACTGGATAGCTTAAACAACAGAAATTTATTTCCTCATAGCTCCAAAGGCTGGAAGTCCAAGATCAAGGTGCTGACAGGTTTGGTTTCATTCTGAGGCTTCTCTCCTTTGTAGATGGCTGTCTTTTCCCTTTGTCTTCACACAGTCTTCTCTTTGTCTTATCTACTCCTAATCTCTTCTCTTTTTAGGACAACAGTTATATTGGATTAGAACTCACCCACATGACCTCATTTTACATTAACTACTTCTGTAAAGGTCTGTCTCCAAATAGAGTCACATTCTGAGGTACTGCAGATTAGAACTTCAACATATAAATTTTGGTAGAAATAATTCAGTTCACAACAGGCAGAAACTTATGAATAAAAAGAGACTTCAGCTACATATTATCCAACCATAATGCATTGACCTAAAATAAATCAATACAAACAAATGCAATAAAGCAAAAAAACACAAAAGGTCAGTAGTTCTCAAATCATGGCCCATAGACCTTGGGATTCAACAAGATTGTTTCAGAATATTCATAAGGTCAAAACTACTTTTGCAATAATACGATGATATTTTCCTTTTCTCACTGTTCAATATTTGCATTGTTACAATAGCAAAGCTGGTTAAAATACTGGCACCTGAGTATGAATCACAAAACAAGCCAATTTTATGAATAAATTATTGCAAGCTAAATAAATAAAGACTAATAAACATATACCCCACACAGAAGAATTCCAAATAATTACATAGTTACTTTACTTTCAGAGAGGTGAAGCATAACTCCCCAGCAGTCTGTAAGTGTGGACAGAGCAAGTGTCTTCTTTCTGAAGAGTACAGTATGGAAAGCATTTTAAAAAGATAAATTTGCAGTGGAGAAACCTGACATATACTACCTCAGCCAGGTAATCAAGGTCAGTATCAACAGTGATAAATCATGTTGATAGCATGTACCCTTCATATGATGCAATGAAAATGTCACTTTATTGCCCCAAGACCATAGCACCACTCTAATCATGAGAAAAACATCAGACAAATCCCAAATGACAGACGTTCTTCAAAATACCTAACCAGAACTCTTCAAAAGTATCAAGGTCATAAAAAAAAAAAAAAAAAAAAGCCAACCCTGAGATGCTGCCACAGTCAAAAGGAACCCAAAGAGTCACGACTACTAAATGTAATATGGTGTCCTGAAACAGAAAAGGGACATTAGGTAAGAACTAAGGAAATTTGAATAAATTATGGATCTTAGGTAATGTTAACTTGTCAATATCGATTCATTAATTGTGATAAATATACTATATTTATGTAGGATATAAATAGTAGGTAAACTAGGTATGAGGTAAAAAGGAATTATTTGTATTAACGTCACAACTTTTCTGAAAACCTAAAACTACTCTCAACTAAAAAGTTTATTTAAAAAATACTTATGCCTAATAAATATTAAACTGATCTGGAAACTAGTTTCACTTAAGAATATTCTTGATAAGGCAATAAAAATAATTAATTCTATTCAGTCTTGACCCTTGTGTATTTTCAATATAATGTGTGACTAAATGGAAAGGAAGAATAAGACACATATGCCCTCTGAAGTAAATCTCAAAAAAAAAAATTTCTTATTATTTGAACTGAAGAAAATACTGTCACTCTACAGTTACTTATAATTGGCCAATTGTTACTTTCTTGAAAAATAAACAGAGTGAGCTTTTCACATTAAAGCAAACAACTGGACAGTATTTGTTACCAATGAAAACAAGTGCACTTTTGAGAAAAAATTCAAGATTTAAAATCTTGCATCACCATTATTAGCATGACTTTACCTCAATACTTAAATACATGCATTAGGAGATCATTGATTAATCCTAAAAATGTGGCTTTTAAATACTATATGCTAAAATGTGTTAGTATTTGGATGACCTGTATAATGCAGTAATCAAATCTTTCAAAATGATCATTACTTGATGATGCAAAAGCATGAAACAGCAAAAAAAATCTATTCTGTATACAAAACTGTGTATTAGTCCTTTTCACACTGCTATAAAGATACTACACAAGACTGGGTAATTTATAAAGGAAAGAGGTTTAACTGATGCACAGTTCGCATGGCTGGGGAGGCCTCAAGAAACTTAGAATCATGACAGAAAGGGAAGCAAGCACCTGCTTCACAAGGCGGCAGGAGAAAGAGAGAGCAGGGGAACCTGCCACTTATAAAACCATCAGCTCTCCTGAGAGTTCACTCAGTATCACCATAACAGCATGGGGGAAACAACCCCCATGATCCAATGACCTCCCACCGGGTCCCTCCATGGTCACTTGGGGATTACAATTCGAGATGTAATTTGGTTGGGGACACAGAGCCAAACCATATTAGATAGTATAATGCATTTTAACATAGAGTCGTTTTTAAAAAGCTCATTGATATAGTTCAGATTTCACAATTCAAATAATCTTTAAGAAATTCTCACTTGTCTCACTTTGGTGTAGTGGCAAAGAATAATATCCACAATAACCTAAAAATACTATTCAAAATACTTCTTCCTTTTCTAGCTGCATATGTGTGGCAGGCCCAAATGTCTTTACACACTTCTACCAAAACAATATATAGCAACATATTGAATACAAAATCAGATATGAGAATGTAACAGTCTTCTATTAAGCAAGATATTGAAGGGATTTTGAAAAATATAATGTCACTGTTCTCACATTTAAGGAAGAAATATAGTTATTTTTCATAAAAGGTGGTATTTGTGTTAAAATGGATTTATTTCATTGATATTTTAAATGAATGAATAACAAAACTTTCAATTTCTGATAAAATAAGTATTAATAGGTATAACACACATAAGGCAAAAGATGTTTAGGAATTTTAATATTCTTTAAGAGTGTAAAGCTTTCTTGAAGTCAAATAGTTTAAGAGCTACTGTATTAGGCAATCAGATGTGTGAAAACTGACTGGATCTTTAATATTATTGAGAAATTACTGTTAAATATTTTAGGTGGAATAATTCTATAATGGATTTTAGTTTTTGAATCCCAATCATTTAGGGAAAGATACTTAAATATTCATATAAATTGATTTGTTATCTGGGACAAAATAATCTGAAAGAGGGGGTTGAGTTGTGCTGTGGATGGCACATAGATGAAATAAGACTGTTGATAGGTTTCTAAATATTTGATGATGTATACTTGGGATTTTAATATAATACCTTTCCTACTCTTGCATGATAAAATATTAAATCTTTATTTTAATATCTAAGCAAACTATACCTCTTAGATACTGATTACTTCTGCTTTTTATTGCCTCATGACTTCTACTTAGGGCATGTGTTAATTTACTTTTTTTCTTCTTGATGTCTAGTATCTAGCACAGTTCCCTACATATACTCAAGAAGTGCCTGTTGAGTGTGAAATAATGTCTCTTCTCATCTGCATTGCAGTATGTGTCTCCCTCTGCCTCATTGTCCGTTCTTGCATTTCTCATTCATGTCTTATATTCAGAATCTCAGAGAGAAAATTCTCGATTTGCTAATTGAAACAAGTTAACAGTTTACCTATTGTGAAGAATTTTCATTTGCAACCACATTAGGCAAAGCAAATTGTCTTCTAGTAAGTTGTCCATGCCTGGCCTAATTAGCTGTGGTCCATAATGGCGTTGTAACTCATATTCCAAAAGTGTCTCAAACATAGACTGTTAGATGACAAAGATACGAGTCTTTTAAAAAGATAATCTGTGAAACCTGATGGGACCTTTGCTTTTCATTACAGTATATTGGATTTAAGCCTGGTGTTTAGAGAAGCAAAGGTGGATGTAAATATCTTCAGGACTCCCACGGAAAACTTTCCAACTCCCAAATCTGCTCATTCAGTTTATTTTCATAAGGCTTTGCCACTCAGTAATTAAAGATATGATTTAATGTGTAAATATCCCCAGGATCAGTTAAATAGTAGTTCATATGAAAGAATAAATATCTGATTATTGATTCTTTTCTGAAAGCAGTTTTGACCAAGGAAAGGAGTGATAAAAAAGGGTATCAGAAAATTTTAAATATGAGAAAAGGAAAAGAGCTTTGAAAGACAAGAGGTACAGGAACAAATGTACACTCTGACCCAGAACAAACTTTGCTCCTAAAAATAAAGATGATAGAAATCAATAAATATTACATTCAATGCAATATCTCAGAGAAAGATTATCTCTTCGGCATTCCGTTCACTTATCCAGACATAGTTTGCTCTGATAACATTTAGATTTAGTTCTATAAAACACCTTAAGCAAAAAGAAATATTCTGATATCACTGACTATAGGCCCCATCATTCAAAAATCCTATGGAAAAAACTGTATCGTCATTTATCAAGAGCTGTGCTATCTCATAGACTCCATCTTTAGCATTGTCAACAACAAAGAGTACATCATCTGTCTTCCTTCTTTTTTCCTTTTTCTGCAAAGTTGACTCTGTAACATTTTTGAATGAAAAGAGTTACTTTCTTATTCCACTATGATGAACACTAAAATAACATTTCTCGGTAGCTCAGACATGAGCATTGGGGAATAGATGTTTTATGAGTTTCTGCTTATAGTTTTTTGTTAGTGCCTTGGTTTAATGAATATAAATTTAGGATGCATCATGTTGTAATATAATGGTTATGTTCATTTGCTAGGGCTGTTGTAACAAGTCACAGACTAGGTGACTTCAACACCGGAAATTTATTTTCCCACAGTTCTGGAAGCTAGAAGTCAGATCAAGATTTGGTTTGTGATATGGTTTGGCTCTCACCTTGAATTGTAATATTTACTTATCTGTGTCATGGGATGATCCTGGTGGGAGGTAATTGAATCATGGGGGTAGGATTTTCCTATGTTGTTCTCATGTTAGTGAGGAAGTCTCTTGAGATCTGATGATTTTATAAAAGGGAGCTCCCCTGCACATGCTATCTTGCCTGCCACCATGTAAGACATGACTTGTTCCTCATTTGCCTTCTGCCCTTGTGAGGCCTCCCCAGCCATGTGGAACTGTGAGTCAATTAAACCTCTTTTCTTTATAAGTTACCCAGTCTTGGGTATTTCTTTATTAGCAGCATGAGAACAGACTACTACAATAAATTGGTACTGGTAGAGTGGGGTGCTGCTGTAAAGATACCCAAAAATGTGGAAGTAAGTTTGGAACTGGGTAACAGGTGGAGGTTGGAACAGGGTTCAGAAGACAGGAAGATGTGGGAAAGTTTGGAACTTCCTAGAGACTTGTTGAATGGTTTTGACCGACATGCTGATAGTGATATGTACCATAAAGCCCAGGCTGATGTGGTCTCAGATGAAGATGAGGGACTTGTTGAAACTGGAGTAGAGGTCACTCTTGCTGTATAGACACTGGCGGTATTTTGCCCCAGCCCTAGAGATCTGTGGAACTTTGAACTTGAGAGACATGATTTAATGTATTTGGTCGAAGAAATTATTAAGCAGCAATATGTTGAAGAGGAAGCAAAGCATAAAAGTTTGGAAAATTTGCAGCCTGATGATTCAGTAGAAAAGAAAACCCAATTTTCTGGGGAGAAATTCAAGCCTGATGCAGAAATTTGCATAAGTAACAAGGATACCAATGGGTATCACCAAGACAATGGAGAAAATATCTCCAGAGCATGTCAGAGACCTTTGCGGCAGCCCCTCCCATCACAGGCCTGAAGCCTATGAGGAAAAAATGGCTTCATTGGCTGGGCCCAGGCACCCCTAGCATGTGCAGCCTAGCAACTTGGTGCCCTGCTTCCCAGCTGCTCCAGTCATGGCTAAAAGGGGCCAAGGTACAGCTCAGGTGGTGGCTCCAGAGGGTGCAAGCCCCAAGCCTTGGCAACTTCCATGTGGTATTGAGCCTGTAGGCTCACAAAAGTCAAGAATTGAGGTTTCGGAACCTCCACCTACCTATCAGAGGAGGTATGAAAATGCCTAATGTCTAGGCAGAAGTTTGCTGCAAGGGCAGAGCCCTCATGGAGAACCTCTGCTAGGGCAGTGCAGAAGAGAAATGTGGGGTCAGAGCCTGCACACAGAATACCCACTGGGGCACTGCCTACTGGAGTTGTGAGAAGAGGGTCACTTTCCTCCATGCCCTAGAATGGTAGATCCACTGACAGCTTGCACCATGTGCCTGGAAAAGTCACAGACACTCAAGGCCAGCCCATGAAAGCAGTCATGTGGGTAGCTGTACTCTGCAAAGCCACAAGGGTAGAGGTGCCCGAGGCAGTGGGAGCCCACCTCTTGCATCAGTGTGCCCTGGATGTGAGACACAGGGTCAAAGGAGATCATTTTGGAGGTTATGACTTGCCTGCCTCGCTGGATTTTGGATTTGCTTGGGACCTGTAGCCCCTTCATTTTGGCCAATTTCTCCCTGTATTTACCCAATGCCTGCACCCCCATTGTATCTAGGAAGTAACTAACTTGCTTTTGATTTTACTGGCTCATAGGTAAAAGGAATTAGACTTCTCTCAGATAAGACTTTGGAATGTGGACTTTTGAGTTAATGCTGAAGTAAGTTAAGGCTTCTAGGGACTGTTGGGAAGGCATGCTTGGTTTTGAAATGTGAAGAGGTTTTTTTCCCCATGTTGTTCTCATGAGAGTAAGTCTCATGAGATCTGATGGTTTTATAAAGGGGAGTTCTCCTGCATATGTTCTTTTTCCTGCCACCACGTAAGACATGACTTTGTTCCTCATTCGCTTCTGCCATGATTGTGAGGCTTCTCCAGCCATGTGGAACTGTGAGTCCATTTAACCTCTTTTATACATTACTCAGTTTCAGGTATGTCTTTTTTAGCAGCATGGGAGCAGACTAATATAGTTTGTTTTCTCCAGAGGCCTCTCTCCTTCACTTGCAGACTGCTGCCTTCTCACAGTGTCCTTAGTGGTCTTTCCTCTCTGCCTGTATCTTTGGGGTCTCTCTGGGTACCCAAATTTTCTATAAGGACACTGGTAAGGTTGGATTAGAACCCACCATAACTGCTTCATTTTAAGTCAATGACCTTTTAATGGCCCTGTCTTCAAATATAGACACATTCTTAGGTACTTAGGTTAGGTCTTCATATGAATCTTTGTGGTAACAGAATTGTCTCCATAAAAGTGCTAATCTCTGGATACAACTAGGAGTAAAACAAATATAATCCAAGTTATCATGATGCTTATATTTTAATAAAAACAGCATTTTAATATGCAGGTAAATATATAAAAAATCACTGTGATACACATTATTAAAGAAACAAATAAGAACAGAATGTAATATGCTTCAGTAGGATGCTTAGTTGATGCCTCTCCAAAGATGTGATATTCCATCTAGGTGATGAGATAATATACACCTTTTAGTTAACTTGAAAATCTTTTGCTATCAGATATAATAGCATCATTTGAAAAGGCCTGGTGAAAAAGAAAACCTGCATGTATTCAAGGACCTTATCATAGGCTTATATTGCTGTAAAATAGTGAGCAAGGAGAAGAGAGCTAGGCTACAAGTTTGTAAAGACTGCCAAAAGCCAAATGGCACAGAACATTGTAGGTCATAGCAAAGCATGAGGGTTATGATTTACATTTGAGAAAAAATCATTAAGGGGTTACAACAACTGGAATAGCATAATTAATTTATGTTTTAAAAATTTTATTTTGCTTTCTTGAATATAAATGGGGTGGGGCATAAAAGATTTTGCAGTAATTTAAAGATGAAATGAAGGTTGGAATAGGAAGTAGTAGCAAAGAGGGAAACAGTGAATAGAATTAAAACATATTTTGGAGGCAGATAAGTTCTTTTGCAGTTTGGCATATCTCTATGTCAAAACCTGTGAAGGACTAAGATTTTTTTTTCTACTGGTAAATCAAACAGCTAATCTGTCACAATTTTATTGATGCTGAAAGATGAAACAAACATCCTAGGTCACACAGAAAGACAAACATCACATGTTTTCACTTATTTGTAGGATTTAAAAATCAAAATAATTGAACTCGTGGACATTGAGAGTAGAAGGATGGTTACCAGAGGCTATGACAGTCAATGGGGGTTTTGGGCGGTGTGTATGGGTGGTTAACGGGCACAAAAATAGTAAAAACACCTTTTTGTATAAGGCGAGAGATGAGGATCCAGTTTCAAGGGTGTTTTAAAGACAAAAATCATTAATGTCTCTTCATCCCCAGCACTTCCTAGGACCTAAAATATTCTCTCCACAGGATCAGGGGTTTTTGTTCACCGTTATTACTACAAAGTCAGTGCATTCCCTTCCAATAGCTATAACTTCACCTATTTTTTAGTCATCTCTTATTCATACCCAAACTTTCAGTTTGAAATTGCCAAGTGCTAGATTGCCAAGACCATTTTTATAAATTTACGTATAACTATTGTACCCTCACTTTGGCCGGTGTTGGGTACTTTAGGGAGAATGAGAGAGCAGTTTACTAAAGCAAGTGGTCATTATGCTTAGGATCTAGGACCATATCAATCCAACAAGAGAAACCAGGTAGCTAAAGCTGATTTCTGTGTGTCTGCTGCAGCTCTTTGGGAAAACTAGCACCTTGATGTACACTAAGAAGGTAGCATGATGTCCAGTAATGATCAGGGTAGAATCCCAAATTTTCAAAATAGGTTTATACAGCCATCTATCAATTTCATCCTGAGTGTGACCCAGGACAAGGCAGTGATAGAGGATTCCTTACTGTGAACATACATTCAGTATGTTTATTTCCTTGGTGGCTTCCATTGCAATGGCAGATGGTTTCTGCAGAGATCATTTTACAAGAGAGGCATAAAATGAGTATAATGGTCATTTGTAAGTCAGGGGCTAATTCTATTTCAAAACACTGCACAGAATTTCACCCATTCAGGTGAAGGGTCAGGTCATCTCAGAGGTGGGTGTTGGAAGATCATAACATTTTCAGATCCTAAAGTAACAGGTCATGAACAGAGAGGTTCATTGAGAAATGGGTCGTGCAGATGACCTGTGTTAGAGTATAAAACATACATCCACATTTACTAGTATTTTCTAGGTGAATGACTTTATGTTCCATCTGATTACGAATAAGATAGTAAGATGGTTAACCCTGTATTTCAAACCAAATATACCTCATGTACAGTTAAAAATATTTATTAATTCTGATAAGACATTAACATGCACATAGAGATTCAAGGACACACACTATCAAACCTCTGATAATCTATGGATGAAATTCTGACTTCCAAGCAGCATAATTGAATACTCTATGTACTGTTAGGTAAGTTAAATTCTAATATTAAGATTAGTGGCATGTTTAACTGGGAAAATCATTACTATTTCATTAATACAATTTTAGGATTAAGTAATCAATTACACAACTGTTTACTGAGCATGGTGTTAGTTACATATAAAAGTTAAACCATCCATTCCTTTAGAAAGTATGACAAGTATGACATGATCTATATTATATGTCAAGATTCTCTGATAGTGGTTTGGCCACGTTTTATGACTTGCTTCCTCTTATATTTTCAATATATAAGTCCTATTTGATACTCAGTGTGCTGCTGGAAGTGGAATGTATGGGTAAGGAAAATATACTTTTACCCTTTTTGTTTTTCACTAAAGCAAAATTGGTAGTTCATGGAGACAGCCCTCCAAATGAGGTTTTCAAAATGCAGAAATAATATTATTTGCCTTATTTACAACATATTATGAAGATTAAAACCTGGATAAAATAATCCACAAGGGTATCTATAATTAAGGAAAAGCCACACACATGTAGTCCCAAAGCTGCTAGTTAAATAAAAGGAAGGAAAGGGAAAGGAAATTAAATGAAGAATGAAATACTGAAACAAAAGACAGTCCACATGGGTCTAAGGAAAAGAGAAAGATTGCTTGTAAAATGTGTTAGACATGGTGATCAAGGAAGAAAGTACCTATAGACAGGGCAATACCCTGAGTGGTTAGGATCATGAAGGGTAAGTGCTATAGAGATCTGTGAGGGGATTGGCAAGAAGTAGCACTGAGTGGCTGGTATAATTAAATAAAAAGTAAAGACAAAAATGCTAAAGTAATTGTTTAGCTAGGGAATCATTTTTTAAACAAATCTGATCATCTGGATCCTTTAATTAAAACAACTACAATACTAACACTACAATACTAACAACCACAACAATAAAAACCTCTGTCAATTCCTCGTTGCAAACCACTCATTACTCTCTGGTCTGTAATGCCCGTGCTGTGTTAACAATACTTACAAATATCCTTTGTGCATACTGGTTTCTTTCTGTTAAAGACCTCCACCTTTTGCACTTGGAAAACTTCTAATTTCATTCGTGATCGCTTTCACAGAAAACTCCTCAAATTCCTTCAATCAAAGTTAATTGTTTTTGTCCCTTTAGTAAAAGTTTGAGCTGTTTGAGCACTAACCATATGGTACTGTAATTTTTTTGGCGCTTCTCCTTCACCCCTCACGGCAAGCTCCTCTAGGCCAGAGATCGTGAACACTTCATGTTTCATTCTTTTATTTTGTAACTCAGTGCTTAGTGTATCACAAGTAATTGTTAAATGAAAATTATCAGATGAAGATTTTCTTCATGACTGATTGGGTGTCAGGAAAAGTAAATGGGTTTGTTGCAAAGCAGAGAAGCAAGCATTACTCTTGAGAGCCAAGCATATTTGGAAAAGTAGAATGTATCAGTATGGTGTTCTCTGGTATTTTACTGTGATGTATGTACTAAGAGGTAGAGGAAGAAACACCTCTCTCTTTTAGCCCAGTCTAGTTACTAGTTGTATTAAGGCACCAGTAGGATCTTTGGTTTATACACAAACATAACTGCATATCAGAGCCAGAGACTGAGTTTGTGCTTCCCCCTGCTGGGCTTTTTCTTATGTTCTCATGACTGCCTTCCTATATATACAGTAACCCTGGCCACTAGAGTGATTGCTGCAGGTATTTAATGTTCTGTAATTGATGAGTATCCAAACAGTATTTCGAAGGTACTGACTTCTAATTATCAGTCTATTACTATTGATTATGTCACATGCTTAGCAATTTAGCAATTCTATTGTCTGAGATTCACTAGGAATATAAAATCTTTAGCTATACAATTTCAAGTGAAAGTGCCTTCAGTAATTTTTAAACCAAGTTTTCTGCTTTTATATAAAAATGTGCACAGTACCCATAGACCTAAGTCTATTAAAAATATATTTATTTTAAATTATATCTTTTTTGGCATGTGGATGGTAGAGCTGCACTTTCTTGTTTCTATGAAGTTGAAGATGGCTGTTTAACTTGTTCCGCAAATAGGAGGCTGCTGATCACTGCACGGGCAAGCCCAGCCAACTTCTCTCCATTGACACTCTCTGGTGCCAAGCAGTGTTTCTTAAGGATGCCAGATCAGCCTGAGTCTCTGAATGAGAGTGAAATAAAGTGAATGTCCTGTAATCAACTAACCACCCCCACCCCTGGCCATATACATTGAACTGAAATGGATACAAATTGTGAGAAAAAAATAAACCTGTGTAGGATGAAGTAATTGATTTTGTTTGAATGTTATCCTTGCAATTTAATCTGAGTTATCTCAAACTATACTGTGCCAAATACTAAAGTAGAAATAGTCACTTTTTCTTTGTAACATTCTGTTTTTTTATCATAACCAAATATTATTTTGAGGAGTAAATGAGGTTAATAGTCCCCAGGAATTTTGAGTGACTGTTAGTTTTCACTCATTCTGCTTCCATCTAATCATGAGTAAACATTATTTTTACCAAGGGAAAAATAATTGGATCTGCCCAGAATCAAAAATATTAGTTTAAAACACCTTTGGGAATGAATTAAGTAAGTTTATGGGTATATTTTGCTTATATATTTTATTGAAATTATCCTCAAGCTTCCCCATGAATCTAGGTAGCAACTGTGCATATACAAAATGAAATGGTTTACAATGTCACTGTGTTCTATTCATTGTTCCCTAAACCTGCTTCCGGGAATTAATGTCCTGAATGTTCAAAATATTTGCTTTTACTATTGATGTTAGTGGGAAAATAAACAATAGAAATGTTAATAAAATTTAAAAAAATGAGAAAGCCTGAATGTGACACAATTTGAAAAACTAAATGCTACTTAGAAAAACTGTCTCTTATTTTATAAAATATTTTTATTATTATTTTTAGATTTCACATGTGAGTGCAACCTTTCAGTGCTTGTCCTTCTGTGCCTGGCTCATTTAACTCAACATAATGCCCACCTAGTTCATCCATATCCATGCAAATGGTAGAAGTAAAGAGTGGAATAGTGGTTATCAGAGTCTGGGGAGGGATGGGGGAGGGAAGACTGGGAGAGGATGAGCAATGGATGCAAAGTTACAATTAAACAGGAAGAATAATCTTTGATGTTCTATTACTCAGTAGGGTAAGTACAGCAAATAGCAATGCAGTGTATATTACAAGATGGTTAGAAATAAATACTTTGGATGCTGGCATCACAAAGAAATGATAAGTGTTTAAAGTGATGGGTATCATAATTACCCTGATTTGATCATTACCCTATGGATACATGTATCAAAACATCATATTTCAGAAATAAGTACAAGTATTATGTGCCAATTACAAATTAAATAATTTAAAAATTGAGAAACTTTCAAACTAAAAAGAGGTGTAAGAATAATGGGATGAACGTACATTGAAAATAAATAATCAACTACTAATGGATAGAAACAAAAGAATGATGTAGTAATCAATAACTTTTCTGATTATACATAATATGGAAGGTTACAATAGATGGTTGTGCTCTTCCTCCAAAAAGCATCACCACCATTTTGAGCTGGCAAACCAAATGGCATCGTGTGTTCCCTAGAGGTAAAGGCCCAACAAAGAAGGCCATGTCTAACCAACATTTCTTGAATGAAAAAAAAGTCATGTTCCCCAAATGTACATCTATTTCTAAAACAAACTTCAATTTCTATGATGGTTATTTAAAACATTCACACCATTCAAAGATCAATTTCAAGAGTTTCACGGAAAAGTGATACACCATCGGAAAGAAAAGAAATGTCTTCCTTTTTCATCTTTGTGTTTCCATTAGCATTAACCATAGTTTGATGGTTAATGGTCATTTTGTCACAACACATTTCATTCCATTCAATCAAAGGAAGCCTAATTATCTTGTTTTCTGATTCATCAGTCTAACACACACACACACGCACAAGTGTATTTGGAAGAATATATAGACAAATAGAGTTCCTAAGTCACTCTCATTCTGACATAGTCATATATACATACATATATGCATATATACACATATTGATAAATGAAGAGTTAGCTGTCACCCTATTATTTATGCATTTATTTTCACCCACAAATTTACATAGAAGCAGAGGGGTCTTATGAGAGCAATATTCATATGACCCCTTCCTTTCAAAACCACAATTATCTTATGGTTTGATGTAGTCTTACCCAAGGATAGATTACCAAATTTGAGGACAAAGATACAGACCTTAAAATGAGCACTGGAGGATATGGAATCCCTTGTCTCTGCCCTGTGGTCAACAACATATAAGCTCATTGGTTCTAGCTCTGTAAAGTAGTTGTGGATCAAATGTGTTTTACATCTGGCACCCTGAAGGAAGATTGTTTTTCCTTAAAAAGTTTGGCTATAGGAGATATATCTGAACTGCAATGCTTGGAGTCCAGGTTAATATAATGCAATGTATCCTTAGTCCAGTCTAATTATAATGAAAGCATAGCCTCTGAGGAGCTATTGTGATCACATGGATTGGGACAGCTGTAATCTAGAAGCCCATGGGCAGTAAGTATAGGTTAGAAATAAGGGTAGGTAACTAAGGTATGCCTCTATGGTTTCCCTGAGCTTAAGCAAGTAGCAGTGCTCAGTTTCCCCATCAATGACAGCAAAGAGAGGGCAATTAAAACAGCAAGGAACAATTCTGCAGTCAGGCCCCTTTTTTCATAGGGCATCCAAGGCTCTCACTTTTGTTGAACACAAAAGCTGTATCACTGTAAGTTTACAATACTTCAGTACTTAAGAAAACTGAAGGCCGGGCGCGGTGGCTCACGCCTGTAATCCCAGCACTTTGGGAGGCAGAGGCGGGCGGATCATGAGGTCAGGAGATTGAGACCATCCTGGCTAACACAGTGAAACCCCGCCTCTACTAAAAATACAAAAAATTAGCCAGGCGTGGTGGCGGGCGCCTGTAGTCCCAGCTACTCGGGAGGCTGAGGCAGGAGAATGGCGTGAACCCAGGAGGCGGAGCTTGCAGTGAGCCGAGATCCCGCCACTGCACTCCAGCCTGGGCGACAGAGCGAGACTCCGTCTCAAAAAAAAAAAAAAAAAAAAAAGAAAACTGAATTATGAACAGTTGAATCCAAAAAAGACCAAGAGAAAAAAATTTTTATCAAGGGAAGTTAATTAGACCACCTTCTTACTGTAAGGGTGCACACCATTGTGACAAAGTCTGAGCAGTATTGCAGAAGGTGTTGAGTAAACTTTTTTGTGAGGTTTTGGTTTCCAGACTCAAGTGATTTAATGCAGGTTTTTAAGGTGGATGAATGCTTAGGTTTGAAAAAAAGGTTGTGATGAATAGTTCAAGATAATGGAACACTGTAAGGCTGAGAGAAGAGTCTTGAAATGAGTCTTAATACACAAACTGTTGTCTAATAAGCAAGCTCTATACCAGTATGAACAATATATTGTCCTCATTGGAGATATGTTTGCCCAAAGGGGCAAACTATATTCCTAGGCAACTAGTTTGCAGGATTTTCCTGATGGAATAAATTCTTTATTGCTCATAGCCTTAACTTTATGCATTTAAAAAGTAATAAATAGTTACATGAGTCTCAATTCTCTTTCCCAATGGTTAAGCTCTGTATATACAAGTGATCCCAATCCTCAAAATTATTCTTTCTTCTATTTTTACATTCCTTTCAAATTTATTACATCAGAAAAAAAATTATTTCTATGAGTTGTGGACAGTGGTGTGTGGACAGTGTGGACAGTGGTGGAGTTGATGTATACAAACTTGTGACTGCCTATTGTAAACATCTCTTTCAATTTCAAAATGTACTTCAATCTTTGACTGATTTGTTATTTTGTCAGTGTCCCTATCATGAAGAAATACACACCACCCCTACTTCCTAATGAACTCCTACATTTGTGTTGTTGATTCATTTAATAATTAATTCATATATTTAGGTATTAGAATGATTAATTATCTAAATATTAAAGTTGCTGATAATAGGCTGGGTGCGGTGGCTCATGCCTGTAATCCCAGCACTTTGGGAGGCTGAGGCAGGCGGATCACGAGGTCAGGAGATCGAGACCATCCTGGCTAACACAGTGAAACCCTGTCTCTACTAAAAATACAAAAAATTAGCCGGGCGTGGTGGTGGGCGCCTGTAGTCCCAGCTACTCAGGAGGCTGAGGCAGGAGAATGGTGTGAACCCGGGAGGTGGAGCTTGCAGTGAGCCGAGATTGCGCCACTGCACTCCAGCCGGTGCGAAAGAGTGAGACTTCGTCTCAAAAAAAAAAAAAAAAAGGAAGTTGCTGATAATAAGTTTGGATATTTAAAGGTCATGATGACAATAAAGTATGTCTACTGTTGAAAACTTTTGTATCTGGTTTGAGTAACAGGTAATAATTTGTTCATGTCATTTTTATATTGAATATAAGCATGAAACTCCTGAGCATTATATAAATATAAAAGAGCATTATTAATTCACACAGACTCCTTGTACAAAAACGGAGAGGTAACCTTCAAATTATATTCTAAGTTGATGTGTTTTTCATATGCATGTCAGTCTCACTAATATCCAATTAAATATATTTCTCGTACACTTGATCTCTAATGTATGCTGTGCTTTGTGCAAACACGGCATGAAGGGATATTTACTATCAATTTGATAGAGATCATTTAGCTGGCCGTGAAACAGAGGTGTTTTCAATTTGTTATTGACACACACTGGAACACATCAGGTGTGAAATCCATAACTTAAACCTCAAGAGTAATTTCAGATAGACATCCATCAAAACATTTAATTGTCAGTTAAATATTACATTTCCATAAAGATGAATTATTAATATGAAGTAAAAAAGCAAATTGTAGTCACCAGGAAAAGTCACCTCATATCATTCAAAAACATTAGTGTTGAGTTCTCAATTTCTCAATCATTAACAATAAATTTCATTAAATAATCAGTAACAAAATTAAATATATGCAATTGCATTTTTGCATCTCATATATGAAAAATACATTTATATTTGGGGTAGTGCTTTAGGTTTTTTTTAAATAAACATTTTTGTTTTTAAAGTTTTTGATTACAAAACAATTGTGAAGATAAGGAATTCCCATATATCTCAAATCTAGCTTCCGTATTATTTCCATCTTATATTAGTATGATCATTTGTCACAATGAACAAACCAATATTGATATAGTTTTTACAATATTGATACATTATTGACACATGATTATTATCAGCTGAAGTCCACAATGTATTCAGAACTCCTTAGGTTTTAATGTCTCTATTCTGTTCCAAGATCCTATCCGGGGTACCACAATATATTTATTCATAATGTTTCCATGGGATCCTCTAGGCTGTGACATTTTCAGACTTTTCTTGTTTTTGATAACCTTGGTAATTTTGAGAAGTACTGGTCAGATACTTTGTAAAATATCTCTCAAATGGAATTCATCTGATGTTTTTCTTGTGATTAGACTATGGCGGTGGGTTTTAGGGGGGAAGATCATAGAGGCAAAATGACATTTTTATCACACCATCAATGTGACTATTGATGTTAACCTTGATCACTTGACTGGGGAAATGTCTGTCAGATTTCTCTACTGTAAAGTTACTTACCCCCCACCTCCCCTTTCCATAAGGTACTCTTTGAGTAATGAGTCACAGGGCATAACCCACACTTAAGGAGTAAGAGTTATGCCCTATCCCCTAGAGGGCAGAGTATCAAAATAAATTATTTTGAATTCTTCTGCACAAGCGATGTCTATTCTCCCCTATTTCTTTCTTTAATCATTTGTTTGTATGAGTATTGACTCACAGATATTTATTTAAAACTTTGGATTAAAATACAATATTACTTTATTTAATTCATTGCTTGAATTGTTCTGGCTTGGACATTGGAAGCTTGTTCAGTTTGCTCCTGTAGCTCTTTAACACACCTTGAACACTGTGAGGTTTTGGGTTTTGTTAGGACTTCCTTACTCTCTGAAAGAGGCTCATCATAAATATATCTTGCCCCAGCCTAGAATCAGGAACTTTTACAAGAAACCCTATTCTACTTAATGAAGCATGGCATTAGAAACCAAGATCTGTGCTGGGGTGCTTGTTACTATTGGTATATTACTGCTTTTAGGCTCTCCCACCTGACAGAACAAGGAAATATATGTGTTATACTAACACATTCTGTACACATATCTACATATGTATAACATTTATATACAGTTCTAGAAATATTTCTATTTGTGGTCACCTGTTATCTATATTAACTAAACATGAATTCTTACTAAAGTCTCCACATCTGATCTATTGATGTGTGTAATTCTAGCCTCCTTTCCTCACTTATCTACATATTCCCATAACAGCACTGTTATTTGTGGGGACACGAGTGACTTTATTTCCAATGCTAATCTGCCATCCAACTTTTGACTAACCATAAGCTCAGGAATGCCTCCAAAATATCTAGTTGATGCATTACTCTTTAGTAGGAACACCTATTCATTGTAAGTTTCCTCTAAAACTCTCGTCATTGCAGAAATCATAGGGTGTGACAACTGTAGCCCCCTATACATTCCTTCCAGACCACATATGCTTTTTTCCCCAACATATAAGCCCTGGGTGTGTGGTACAGCCATCCACCTGTCTTGCCCCTGCTCAAGATCATGCTTCCGTCTGTAGTCCCCCTAATAAATCATGCAAAATGGATACACTAGACTTATCTTCCCCCATCATTAATTTCTTGGCTCCTTGTGCATTTGGGGGTCACTTTGCATATACAACCTTTTCACAGATCACGTAACTGGCACCTATCATCCATCATCCATTTTCTTAATTGCTCATTCCAGTATACATGTATAGTGGTATCAGAATCATTAACTCATACCCCATTGAGGACAACTTTACCACCTAGAGTATGGTGCTTATATGCAAATAAGTTGCCTTTAGTATAACAGACTCCAGTCATTTACCAGGATACATAGGCCATCAACTTTTCCCCTAACTGCTTCAGTGTTACTGTCGCATACATTTGTCATTCTACATTTTTTATGGAATAATGTATCCAGCATTACAATATCATACAAAATAATTGCAGTGCCCTAAATAATCTCCTATATTTGACTTACATAACTCTCTTCCCTTACCGAAAACCACAGAAGCGGTTGAGTTTACCATCTATATGTTTTGCATTTTACAAAACCTATTAAAATCATGTAGTATGTAGTCTTTAAGACTGGCTTTTTTCACATGCCAATATACATATAAGCTCCCTCAGGGTCATTTTGTGGCTTAATAACTCATTCTTTTATATTGTTGGACAATAAATTACTATATGAATGTACCGAAGTTTGTTTAACCTTTTCACCCACCGAATGACACCTTGGTCACTTCCAGGGTTTACTAGCTGAATAAAGTGGCTAAAAATATTGATGTTAAGATTTTTTTATATAAATATACATTTTCAAATCAGTTGGAAACACCTAGGAGTATAATTGCTGGATCATATAATAAGACTATGTTTAGCTTTGTCATAACCATTCAGCTATCTTCCAAAGTGGCTGTAATATTTTGCATTCCCAACTGCAGTGAATGAGAACTTCTATCGCTCTGCATCCTCTTTGGTAATTGGTATTGTTAGTTTTTAGGATTTTGGTTATTCTAATGGGTATGTAGTGGTATCTCATTTTTATTTTAATTTGCAATTCCCTAATGACAAAATGATGTTGGACATATTTTATGTGCTTATTTGCTCTGTGTGTGTATATATATATATACACATATAAACACATATATATACACACAAACACACACACACACACACATATATATATATATATATATATATATATATATAGTGTGGCATCTGTGTAGAACATTATCCCATTTTTTAATCTATATTGTATACATATAAATATATATATATTTAATGTGATGTCTGTATAGAACATTATCCCTTTTTTAAATCTAGGTATTTATCTTATTGATGAGTTTTAAGGGTTATTTTCATATTCTAAATACAAGTCCTTTATCAGATGTGTGGTTTGTAAATATTTTACCTAATCTGTTCACTTTACTTTCATTTCCTTAATGGTATATTTTGTAGGGCAGAAGTATTTAATTTAAATAAGGTGCAGCTTTTATCATTTTTTCCTTTGTGAATTACAATTTTAGTGTTATATATAATATTCATTATAAAATCTAAGATGACATAAATTTTCTTCTAGAAGTTTCATAGTTTTTTTATTTTCATTTAGGTCTCTGACCATTTTAAGTAGACTTTTGTGAAATGGGTAGGATCTGTGTCATTTATTTTACATATGAACATCCATTTGTTACAGTACCATTTATTGAAAAGACTCTCTTTACTTTTGTCAAAACTACTTTCTTTCGCAGGCCAATATGTACATTAGCTCCCACAGGAAATACCTTTGCTCCTTTGTCAATGATCACTGCACTATATTTCTGAACTTCTCTACTCTGGTCCATTCATCTATGTGTCTATTCATTCACGAACACCACACTGTCTTGAGTACAGTAGCATTGAAAATGGAATGGGTGAATCTTCCTTATTATTCTTCTTTAATATCGTGTTGAGTATGCTATGTCTTTTGCCATTTCATTTAAATTTTAGGATCATGTTGCTTTCCACAAAATAGCTTCCTATTATTTTGACTGGATTTTGTTGAATCTACAGAAAGTTGAGAAGAATTGGAATTTTAACAATATTGTGTATTGCCATCTATGGATATACCTCCATTTATACAGAACTTTGATTTCTTTCATCAGCATTTAGTAGGCTTCCTCATACAGATCCTTGATTTATATTACTAAACCTGTACTTAACTAGTTCATTTTTTGGTGACATGCTAAATAATAATTTTTAAAATTTAAAATTTCAATTTTTTATTACTAGTGTTACCAGAAAGAGATCCCAATCCAGACACCAACAGAGGGTTCTTGGATCTGGTGCAAAAAAGAGTTAGAGGCAAGTCCCTAGAGTAAAATGAAAGCAAGTTTATTAAGAAAGTAAAGGAATAAAGAATGGCTACTCCACAGGCAGAGCCAGCCTGTGGCTGCTCAGCGGCTTGTACTTACTGTTACTCCTTGATGACAGGCTAAACAAGGGATGGATTATTCATGAGTTTTCTGGGAAAGGGGTGGGCAACTCCTGGACCTGAAGATTTCTCCCCCTTTTAGACCACTTAGGAAAACTTCCTGACGTTGCCATGGCATTTATAAATTGTCATGGCACTGATAAGAGTGTCTTTTACCATGCTAATGCATTATAATTAGTATATAATGAGCAGTAAGGACAACCAGAGGTCACTTTTGCTGCCATCTTGGTCTTGGTGGGTTTAAGCCAGCCTCTTTACTGCAGCCTGTTTTATCAGCACCGTCTTTATGACCTGTGTCTTGTGCTGAACTCTTATCTCATCCTGTGACTTAGAATACCTAATGTCCTGGGAATGCAACCCAGTAGGTCTCAGTCTTATTTTACGCAGCCCCTGTTCAAGATGGAGCTGCTCTGATTTAAACTCCTCTGAGACTAGCAGATAGGAAAACAATTAACATTATTTTATTAACTTGTATCCTTCCACCTTGCTATACTACCTTAGTTGTTCCAGAATGTTTTTTTTTTAACTATTATACTCTAAGTTTTAGGGTACATGTGCACAATGTGCAGGTTTGTTACATATGTATATGTGTGCCATGCTGGTGTGCTGCACCCATCAACTCGTCATTTAGCATTAGGTATATCTCCCAATGCTATCCCTCCCCCCTCCCCACAACAGGAAGGGGAACATCACACACCAGAATGTTTTATTGATTCTTTGAAATTGTCTACATAGACAACCATGTTAACTGCAAGTAAAGGCAATTTTGTTTCTTCCATTTCAATCAGCACAAATTTATATTTGTTTACTGTCTTCTTGTACGAAACATAACTTCCAGCATTATGCTGAATAGGAGTTATTAGTGAAACCACCCTTACTTTTTCCTGACCTTAAAAAAGTACATATAGTTTGTCAACATTTAGTATATTAGCCATAGGTTTTTGTAGAGTTTCTATATCAAGTTTCAAGTTGAGGATAGCTTCTATTCCCAGTTTGCTAGTAGCTAGACTTCATTAAAATTCAAAATTTCTGTTCGTGAAAGACACTGTTATATGAAAGAAAAGACAAGCAAAAGGCTGAGAGAAATGTTTGCAAAACATATAGTTGGTAAAGGATTGGAATTCAAAATATACAAAGAACTCTAAATTCTGATTCAGGCTCCCCTGTTTTGTGGGTTATTAGTTCCAATTACTATATTTAAATTTTCAAATAATATGCTGTTAGTTTTTTATAATCTTTTAAAAATGATTTTTCTGTATGTTCTTTTTTTTAACTTGTTTGAGATAATTATTGACACTTCCTTTTTTTCTGGGATTATTTTTCTTTTGAAAGTTTCTTTAGAGAGAGTCTGGTGCTAGGAAACCTATTAGGTTTCATTCAACCAAAATTTTCTGCCCTCTTTCTTAAATGGCATATATATTTTCTGGTACAGGAAAAGGTTGACAGTTATTTTTCCTCAGGATGTTGAAGATGCTCTTGTACTCTTTTTGGTTAAAGTAAGTTTTGACCTTTCCATAGAAGATATAATAACCAATATTTCCTTTCTTTTTGGAATCATATACCATGGTAATCCCAAAGCCAAAGTCACATGAGAGAACAAAGAGGCCTCATGAGTAGCTACACGTGTGCAAAGGGTTTCACTCGCTCTGGTCAAATGGTGTAGGTCATAAGACCTTAAAAGATAAATAAAAAGCTTTAGAAATTCCTGAGCTAAAGGGAGTTAAGTGCCAATTATTAACAAGAATTCTCCAAAGGGCTTTGTGGAGACTTCTTAAAGGTGCAGATTAAACTAAATAGGACAATATCAGGGTGTTCATTTTGCAATGCTGTGAGAGGACTATTTTTCATGTAGCAAATGTTAACAAGAAAGAATGTTTGATTCTCAGAACCAGAAAGCAAGCCTCTAGAAATCTAAACTGAAATCGTAGAAGCCTGGATCTCATTATTTCTTGACAACCTGTGGCATGGTTTTGAAATAAAGATAGCATATCTTGCTAAAAGGGAAAAGTAGCAATAGTGTTTTATATTCTCACAATCCTGTCTGCTTGCAGTAAGGATTTATATATGAGATCCACTTATGAAAATGTTAGACAAATTTGAGAACAAGATCATCAGAATACAAGCACTCAAGAGAGCAACTACATTTGTGTTGACCATTAAAAGGACAGATCACTAAAGTATCTGTGACATACTCACACATATTCTAATGCCACTCAAGGGATAGAGAAAATAAAAAATCAGCTTAACATGTCATTTTTAAAATGTGAAAGATGCATATTATATGGAATCTGTGCACTAATTATTAATATGTTCTCGTGAGATGGATGTCATTACAAAAAAACACTACTTTATGCTACTTAGTAAAAGTTATCATCTTCTGAGACAAGTTAATTCTTCATTGCTTCCATACCATCTGTGCTGGTTTCACTTATTTCTCCAACTACATATGGATTCTTATCTACTGGCTAGAATTTCCTATTTTAAAGGATATTTTAATCTACACTTCCACCTGGAAATTATACTTCTAATGAGATTTGGCAAAGAGAATATGACAACATATTAAACAATTTGTGAACATACTACTGAGATTTCTGAGTGGTGACATTAGCTAGAGAGATTTGTCATATCTTCTCACCCCCACTTCCCAATGGAATACCTTTGAAAGCCTACCAAACCAGCCTAGTTGACAACAATATAGGAAATTAAGATATTGTCACATCTGACAAATACTGGAAGGAAATAGCCTTATGGAGTAGATAAGCCAACACAAAATATAATAAACACCCAATTTATGTCTATGAAAGAGATAAATGACCAAAATAAAGGAGACAAGAAATGTCATCTAAACCATTCCCCTTCTCCCTTACTGCCTTTGCCACTGAATACCCTTTTATCATAAATTTTGGTCTTTGTCACTGTCAAAAACCTGTGGAAATCCTAAACGGGAACACCAATTTCTCATAGTCTCAGAGTAATAATTGCAACCTGAAACCTCATCAGTTTTTTTCCCCCTACTTCCACTCAGAATACTTAAACTTCTACATGATGAAAGGTAAAAGGCAGTGGCTTGCTTCTTGTTCATTGAAGTCAGCATATTGACAGGAAAATTAAGAAAAATATGCACTGAATGTTTAGAATTTGCCATAAACCATGTTTTGCCAAAGAAAGACTACAAATTATTTCAAATGCTAGTGAATACCTCCCTATATGTAGAAAAGTTAGAAGTGGAGAAAAAAAAATCTCTTTGGTTTAGCAGAGCTATAGTAGAAGAGTATCTCTTAGAGTTTGTAAGGGAACAAAAGGAACTGATTTTGACCGTGAGACCTGGGAGGCTAAGTTTAGTAAAACAATTCACATTAAAAAAAATTGATTATTATAAACAAACTGCATCTTAAATGTTTATTTTCCATGTATTTCTTAGTAAAATCACTCAGCCAAATGGACTTGATGAGAAACAGATGAAATATGGCATTTAAAATAATGGTGACTGGAAATAATATTATGTGAAAAACAACAGTGTCTTAGAGAATTCTCTTCTTGCACAAGGTCTCCACAGCTGCCACTCCAGGACAGGGTCACCCCTTTTGTAAAACTCTGCCTCAAGTTCTGCATAGTGGAGCTGATATAGCCTCTTTCATTTTGTCAACCCTGGATATTTCACCTAGAATGTATTTTGTGCCTGCTTACTTGGATTTGAAAACTTAGAACTTTCCATGATTTTCTATCACATCAAAGATTTTATTAGCATTTATTTTTCATTTTCAGCAGACAAGGAGAAGCCCAATCCACTCCACATGATCTCGGATATGAAACAGAGGCCTAACGTTGTTAATAAAATTATTTGAGAATTGATTGAATCATGAATGTAATGCTAAAATTATATAGTAATCTAAATTCACAACAATAAGATGATTTCATAAAATCTGAGGTTACATCAAAATAAAAAAAACACCTAAAATAATATTTTAAAGAATCATTAAAGTGTGGAAAAACGTTAATAGTGGATACTGTTATATTCTACCATATGATCGAGGCTCTCATCCTCTACTTGCTGGAGACAGTACCTGTTGACTCTCATAGCTATGTTCCTCACTGAAAATTGCTCTTGCACACAGGAAACTATCTTTCCAAAGATAAGGTATCTTTTATGAGTGTGGCCTGTGGTTATCAAATGGATGATGCAGAAGGAACTCTGGTCTCAGTTTGAAAGAATTCTGCAAGTCAGTTCAGCCCTAGAGTTCCCCATAAATCAGCAGAAGTCCTCAGTTAAAATCACATTGCAAGTCAGATTCCCCCTCTGCGCAGTCCTGCTTTCCTCATTGTTTCATGTGATAAAATGCCCAATAAACTTTGGCAAACAAATCTCAGCTTCACAATCTATTTCCAGGAAACAAAATCTACAATAGCATTCAAGGCAGAATGAAGTGAGAGACGCAATGCATAAGGTTAAGAATAAAGAGAGTTATTAGAAGTGAGAATGAGGTGAATGATTAATTAGAAGACATAAAAAGGAAGGTAAAATAATTAAAATTAATATTATCAAACTTCCTCTATATGCAAAGCTGTATTCTAAGGTACAGGCTTTTAAAAATATAACCAAATAATTTTGTTAGCTTTAATGGAGTCTAAGATCAAATAAGAAATATAGAATATACATTGAGGACATTTCTCTAAAAATTTTGAATTTTGGATTAATGTGTATTTAGAGTCTGGTAGAAGTAGATGAAACACACAAAGGGTCTAATTAATGAAAACTTAATAAAGTGACTATTTAAAAAGAAATGATCAGGGTTAAGGGAAACTAACAAAGGTAGTGAGATACTCAGCAGCTGGCAAGAGCCAGGAATTGTTACCAGAGGACTGAGGAAGAAAGGAAAGGGAAGTCTGTTTGAAGCAGTGTGGGGAAGATATAGATTGAGAATCCCTGCCAGAATGATGACAAGGTAGCCAAGGAGAGTGGAAATAATATTCCATTTCTCTGCCTACCCTCTAATCTCTGTTCCTAATTCTGAGTAACTGAATCTAACCACCAGATAAGTGAGCCTGGTTCATGTGTCCATGAAAATCCAACTCCTAGGAAGACAGAGAAATGCAAAGAGAGGTAGACAGTAGACCTAGAGCAGCGGTCCCCAACTTTTTTGGCACCAGGAACAGTTTTCCTGGAAGACAATTTTTCCATGAGATGGGAGGGATGAAACTCTTTCACCTCAGATCAGCAAGGGTTGGTTAGATTCTCATAAGAAGCAAGCAGCCTAGATCCCTTGGATTTGCAGTTCACAATAGGGTTTGTGCTCCTATGAGAAACTAATGCCACTGTTCACAGGACAGGTGGCAGAGCTCAGGTGGTAATGCTTGCTCTCTTGCTGCTGCTCACCTCTTGCTGTGCTGCCCGGTTTAGGGTCTGGCAGGAAGTAGGCTGGTACCAGTCTGTTTCCTTGGAACTGGGGAATCCTGATCTAGAGTGCATGTAGAGTCAAAAGAAAAATATTACATCTTAAATTGGTAATGAAAAAATAAGAATTAGCCTGTCATACCTTTGTATTTACAGAAAGTTCTGAGTTGAAAAAATACACTTGTGGTTTATTTTGTTTTGTAAGTTCCATAGTACTTGTGCAGGATATGCAGGTTTGCTACATAGGTAAACGTGTGCTATTGTGTTTTGCTACACCTATCAACGCGTCACCCAGGTATTAAGGCCGGAATGCATTGGCTCCTTTTCCTAATGCTCTCCCCTCCCCCGACAGGTCCCAGTGTGTGATGCTCTCCTCGCTGTTTCCATGTGTTCTCCTTGTTCAGCTCCCACTTATAAGAGAGAACTTGTGGTGTTTAGTTTTCTGTTCCTGCATTAGTTTCCAAGGATAATGGTTTCCAGCTTCATCCAGGTCTCTGCAAAGGACATGATCTTGTTCCTTTTATGGCTGCATAGTATTCCATGGTGTGTATGTACCATATTTCCTTTATCCAGTCTATCATTGATGGGCATTTGGGTTGATTTCACATCTTTGCCATTGTGAATAGCGCTGCAATGAACATACACGTGTGTGTATCTTTATAATAGAGTGATTTAAATTCCTTTGGTTATATACCCAGTGATGGGTTTGCTGGGTCAAATAGTATTTCTGGTTTTAGATCCTTGAGGAATCACTATACTGTCTCTTCCACAATGGTTAAAATAATTTACATTCCTACCAACAGTGTAAAAGCATTCCTATTCCTCCACTACCTTGCCAGCATTTGTTGTTTCTTAACTTTTTAATAATCACCATTCTGACTGGCATGAGATGGTATCTCATTGTGGTTTTGATTTGCATTTCTCTAATGATCAATGATGTTGAGTTTTTCTCCATGTTTGTTGGCTGCATGTGTGTCTTCTTTTGAAAATTGTCGGTTCATATCCTCTGCCCACTTTTTAATGGGGTTGTTTCTTTCTTGTATATGTGTTTAAGTTCCTTGAAGATTCTGAACATTAGACCTCTTTCAGATGGATAGATTGCAAAAATTTTCTCCCATTCTATAGGTTGTCTTTTTGCTCTGGCAATTATTTCTTTTGCTGTGCAGAAGTTCTTTAGTTTAATTAGATCCCATTTGTCAATTTTTGCTTTTCTTGCAATTGCTTTGGCGATTACATCATAAAAACTTTGCCCATGTCTATGTCCTGAATGGTATTGCCTGGGTTTTCTTGTAGAGTTTTTATAGTTTTGGGTTTTACATTTAAATGTTTAATTCATCTTGGGTTAATTTTTGTATAAGGTATAATGAAGGGGTTCAGTTTCAATTTCCTGCATATTGCTAGACAGTTCTCCCAGCACCATTTATTAAACAGGGAAATCTTTACCCATTGCTTGTTTTTGTCAGGTTTGTCGAAGATCAGATGATTGTAGATGTGTGGTGTTATTTCTGAGATTTCTATTCTGTTCATTGGTCTATGTGCCTGTTTTTGTACCAGTACCATGTTGTTTTGGTTACTGTAGCCTTATAGTTTGAAGTCTGGTAGCATGATGCCTCCAGCTTTGTTCCCTTTGGCTTAGGATTGTCCTAAGCATTTTTGGGGTTCCATATGAATTTTACAATAGTTTTTCTCATTCTGTGAAGAATGTGAATGGTAGTTTAGTGGAAATAGCATTGAATCTATAAATTTATTTAGGCAGTATGGCCATTTTCATGATATTGATTCTTCCTATCCATGATCATGGAATGTTTTTCCATCTATCTGTGTCCTCTCTGATATCCTTGAGCAGTGGTTTGCAGTTTTCCTTGAAAAGATCCTTCACCTCCCTTGTTAGCTGTTTTCCTAGGTATTTTATTCTCTTTGTGGCAATTGTGAATGGGAGTTCATTAATAATTTGGCTCTCTGCTTGTCTCTTGTTGGCATATAGGAAAGTTCGTGATTTCTGCACATTGATTTTATATCCTGATACTATGCTGAAGTTGCTTATCAGCTTAATAAACTTTTGGGCTGAGTCAATGGGGTTTTCTAGATATAGGATCATGACATCTGTAAACAAACACAATTTTATTTCCTCTCTTCCTATTCGAATACACTTTATTTCTTTCTCTTGCCTGATTGACCTGGCCAGAACTTCCACTACTATGCTGAATAAGAGTGGTGAGAGAGGGCATCCTTGTGCCAGTTTTCAAGGGGAATGCTTCCAGCTTTTGCTCATTCTGTATGATATTGGCTGTGGGTTTGTCATAGACAGCTCTTATTATTTTGAGTTATGTTCCTTCAATACCTAGCTTATTGAGTGTTTTTAGCATGAAGCCACGTTGAATTTTATTGAAGGCCTTTTCTGCATCTATTGAGATAATCATGTGTTTTTCAACTTTAGTTCTGTTTACGCGATGAATTCATTTATTGATTTGCATATGTTGAACCAGCCTTGCATCCCAGGGATGTGTCCGACTTGATCATGGTGGATAAGCTTTCTGATGTGCTGCTGGATTTTGCTTGCTAGTATTATCTTGAAGATTTTTGCAATGATATTCATCAGGGATATTGGCCTGAAGTTTTCTTTTTTTGTTGTATTCCTGCCAGGTTTTGGTATTAGGATGATGCTGGCTTTGTAAAATGAGTTAGGGAGGAGTTTCTCCTTTTCGATTATTTGGAATAGTTTTAGAAGAAATGGTGTCAGCTCCTCTATGTACCTCTGGTAGAATTCAGCTGTAAATCTGTCTGGTTCTAGGCTTTCTTTGGCTGGTAGGCTATTTATTACTGTCTCAATTTCAGAACTTGTTATTAGTCTATTCAGGGATTCATCTTCTTCCTGGTTCAGTCTTGGGAGAGTGTATGTGTCCAGGAATTTATCCATGTCTTCTGAATTTTCTAGTTTATTTGCATAGAGCTTTTTATAGCATTCTGTAATGGTTATATTTCTGTGGGGTCAGTGGTGGTATCCCCCTTATCATTTCCGATTGTGTTTATTTGCATCTTCTTTCTTTTCTTCTTTATTAGTCTAGCTAGCAATCTATCTATTTTTTTTTTTTTTAAAAAAAACAAGCTCCTGGATTTTTTGACTTTTTGAAGGGTTTTTCGTGTCTTCGTGTCTCTCTCTCCTTCAGTTCTACTCTGAGCTTAGTTATTTCTTGTCTTCTGCTAGCTCTGGGGTTTGTTCTTGGTTATCTAGTTCTTTCAGTTGTGATGTTGGGGTGTCAATTTGAGATCATTTTAGGTTTCTGATGAGGGCATTTAGTGTTATACATTTCCCTCTCAACTCTGCTTTAGCTTTGTCCTAGAGATTCTGGTATGTTGTCTCCTTGTTCTCATTATTTTCAAAGAACTTCTTTATTTCTGCCTTAATTTCATTATTTACCCAGAAGTCATTCAGGAACAGGTTGTTCAATTTCCATGTAGTTGTGTGGTTTTGAGTGGATTTCTTAATCTTAAGTTCTAATTTGATTGTGCTGTGGTCTGAGAGGCTGTTTGTTATGATTTCAGTTATTTTTCATTTGCTGAGGAGTGTTTTACTTCCAATTATGTGATAAACTTTAAAATAAGTGCTATGTGACACTGAGAAAAATGTATATTCACTTGTTTGGGTGTGGTGAGTCCTGTAGATATCTATTAGGTCCACATGGTCCAGAGCTGAATTTAAGTCCTAAATATCTTTGACAATTTTCTGTCTTGATGGTATGTCTAATACAGACAGCAGCGTATTAAAGACTTCCACTATTATTATATGAAGGTCTAAGTATTTTTGTAGGTCATTAATAATTTGTTTTATGAATCTGAATGCTCCTGTATTGAGTGCATATATATTTAGGATAGTTAGCTCTTCTTATTGAATTGAACCCTTTACCATTATGCAATGCCCTTCTTTTTGATCAAAGATCAAAAGATTGCATTTTTTGATCTTTGTCTATTCTGTCAGAAACTAGGATTGCAACCCCTGCTTTTTTCTGCTTTCCATTTCTGTTTGAAATTAGAGTAATCTGAATTATTAACAGACTGTGGTACTAAACGATTCTGTGATCTTAGGCAAGTCATTGAATACCTTCTATACTCAGACCATTTATAAACAATACAAAGATGATGGTTAGGTACATGGCTCCTACCCACTATGAATTAAAAATCTTAATTGTAAAATGGTCCATTATTTAATAAGATATAAGAATAAATTTTATGTACTTGTACCAAACAGTAAAAAGAATATAACATTTGTTTTCAAAGTCTGTGCCATATCCACTAGACCTAAATTCTAGCAAAAATAATACAAATGTTAGAGTGATAGTTATAATCTTCTTGGTTGTGAATGCTTGCTTTGCAACTTACTTTCTAGATTAACTCAAGCATGTTACATAATGTCTCTGTTCTTTGCTTCTAAATTATTTACAATGAAGATAATTTTTCTCTTAGAGTTATGGGGATTCAGTGGTCAAAAGAGTGCATGACTTACAGTGAATTTTCAATATATATTATCAGTTATTATTGATTTTTTCTATATAGATATGAATGAACTTGTCATTTAAAATTTTCCTCATATTTCTTCCCATAAACCAAAAAACGTTTCTTTTCCTGAATAATTTTGGCATGTTTCCCTCATCAAAATATGTATTTTATTGATCATAATAATGAATATAATATATATCCAGAAAAATTGATTTGTTTAGATTTCCTTTGTAGTCAAAATAATAGTTTCAGTGATAAATCACTCTTCTTGATGTTGACATGTAAATGAATTGACAGGCAGCTTAAATTGTCAACTAAAAAGCAACCTTATAATTTTAGTCATCTTTTTAATGTTTTTTCCTTTATTTGTATGAAATTATGGAAAGAGAACATGTTCATTGAAGCACTTTCTCTCCAGTTACATGATATTCAAAGCCTTAAAGTTTATTCATTCTTCAATACGCAATTTTGCATGAAACAAATATATCCAAACTCTAGTATATTATTTAATTTGAAATATATATTATTTTTCCTGGCTGCTCCTCAGAGTTGAAAATGTTCCAGATTTTTGCAAAACTAACTTGTCATAGGGAGTTGAATAAGTGGTGACTCATTGTCAGCCAATAATGATTTCCTTAAACCAATAATCTTATCACATGGGAATACTCAAATAGTATGAAATAATGATAAAAGAGAAATAAACCAGCTTATAGAAATTATTAGATAGAAATGTGTATTTTAGTGAAAAATAATATTAGTATAAATAACGATATACAAATTATAAGTCAGATTCAATAACCCCTTTAGTAACATATGCAAAGTGGGTTCACTGTACACAGGTATCAGTCCCAGGGGAGAACTCTAAACATTTTGCCAACACTGTACACCAGTGTCAATCAACTTGCAGGAAGCCAGTCAGAAAAAGTACTAATAAAACAACTTAAGCAATTTTATTACTAATAGACAGGCAGACAGGGACAATGGAAGCCTAGGATTCATGGTGGGCCAGTACCCCAAGGCTCAGAATAGCTGCACAGCATGGATGGAGTCCCAACTGTGCATGCCCCATGTCAAACTGCCCCTGAGGGACCCTGAAAGGCACTCCACTCTGGATTTTAAATCACATGGGCAATGTTAATTGTGGGACTAAAGTGTTGTAGGACTCCCTGTTCTAGAAGGGACAAGAACAGAGTCTGGATGTTCTAGACAGTTCCTCCTTATCTCAGGATATTGCATTCTCATATGCTCAGCACATTCTATGTTTATACTTAAGAACTACAAGCATGAGGCAGGGGAAAGGTGGGGAGTGCTGAAACTGGGTCAGTCAAGGCCACATGCAGCCTGTCCTGCAACATAGACCATTTTTGTGGCAGGGGTTGGGGAGTGGGTGGAGGTGGTGGTGGTGGTAATTTCTACGTTATCATCAAGAACCAGTATAGAACCAGTATAAACAAAACCAGTCTATTCCTATCCTCCCAAAGTCAACTGTATGGAAGGTTTGTAATGGTTAATATTAGTGTCAACTTGATTGGATTGAAGGATGCCTAAATAGCTAGTAAAGTATTGTTTCTGGGTTTGTCTGTGAGGGTGATGCCAGAGGAGACTGACATTTGGGTCAGTGGACTGGGAGAGAAAGACACTCATCCTTGATGTGGGTAGACACCATCCAATCCACTGCCAGCACGGCTACAATAAAGCAGGGAAGAAGGTGGGATAAGCTGGCTTGCTGAGTCTTCCGGCTTCCATCTTTCTCCCCTGATGGATGTCTCCTTTCTCTCTTCCTGCCCTTGGACATCAGACTAGAATAAAGCAGGGAAGAAGGTGGGGTAAGCTGGCTTGCTGAGTCTTCTGGCTTCCTTCTTTCTCCTGTGATGGATGTTTTCTTCCTCTCTTCCTGCCCTTGGACATCAGACTTCTGGTTCTTTGGCTTTGGACCCTTGGACTTCCATCAGTAGCTTGCTGGTGTCTCTCGGGCATTTGGCCACAGACTCAAGGCTGCGCTGTTGGCTTCCCTGCTTTTGAGGGCTTTGGACTTGGAGTGAGTCACTACTAGCTTCTTTCTTCCCCAGCTTGCAGACGGCGGATCGTGGGACTTCTCTTTGTGATGGTGTGCCATACAATCACAAATTAGGGAGTTTATTCTCCCTAATAAACTCCCTTTTATATGTACGTATATTCTATTAGTTCTGTTCCTTTGGAGAATCCTAATACAAGGTTCAAAGTTAACATCCATAATACCCAGACACCTAAAGAGTTACCTATTAAATAGGATGTGAGGAGAAACCAATTGGTAGTAAAATCAAATATTGTTCTACTACTCTTGCACCTTAATCTGAAACATGATAGTTCTGTGTTGTAGATGTCTTCCTATTGAACAAGTATAGCAGGTGATGAAATTAACAAAGTGATTAATTTACCTAAATTTTTGCCAGTATCACAATTCCGTTATATCTTTCAAGGCATAAGACTAATAGTTGGGATATTTTAAGTTCATGATTAGAGTTTAAATCATTTATAAGAGTTTCATTGTTTTCCATACTTTTCTGTCAGATGTAGGAGTTTGATTTGCAAAGGTCCATATTACTCAGTAGTAATTGTAGTAAACTCTCTGGTTTGGACATCTAAAATCCTAAAACATTATTAACTGAGGTCTATTTTCATGGATTTGACTGTCTGTTAGTTCATATGTAATTTTAGTTCATTTTTAGGTAAAGGTTAGTACCACTGGAGAGAAAAGGTAGCATCTCGAAATAAGTATAAAGCTTTATTTATTTTCTTCAAATAAATAATTTCCAAACACAATCATTCTCAACTCTCATGATACCCGTAGCTGAACTGTTAGGTTTATTCCTTGCTGTAATAAAAAAGAACACAGTAGTAGACAAGTATGGGATGTCTAAGTAAGACGATGTTAGAAAAAAAATGTATTATAGGATTTGTAAGTTTGTTATGTGACTTGCTTGAAGCTCAAGTAAGTATGGTTTTGTATAATTCTATGACAGTATCTTAAATCTAGCTATAGGCAGTGAAGAATAGATGGAAGTTAAAATGTAACTAATAAAGATGCAGCAATCTCATATTAGCTGAGTTTCAGGGATATTAATATTTTCTGTGACTTGCACAGAGACCTTGTTTTTGTTTTGGTTGTAATCAGACATAAATATGAAGTGTTCTGCTATTTTTTGTCTAGCTTTATCTTGGTCATGTCATCACCTCTTCTGATCAACGAAACAGCACAGCCTAGCTATGAATGCCAGCTCCTTAAAAACCAAAGCCTAATTGTGTCAGGTCAGTTCCTGGATGTCAGGGACTGGTTTTATCTTTCTCAATTCCTCCCCCTCCCTTCCTTCAGGTCACCGGCAGAGGAAGTTAGGCACTATGACATTTACCAGGGATATCCAGATTTTCACCATTGTCAAAATTGTCCTGATCAGGAGTTTGTTCAGAGTACATTTTCTGTAACTGAACTAGAAGTGATCCTCCCTGCTCCTTTTGTTCTCAGGTGAGCTGTTGAATTCTCTGATGTGACAATGGCTGCATAGTAGCATTTAAGATTCTGGATATAACACATTGGCCAACTGTAACATGTAGTTTCCAGAGGCAAAGAAAAGATCACTAGTTTTTATAACAAGCACTGAAGCCAGAAACCTAGATAATAAAGCCTAGACAATGAACACATGGCCGATAATTAAACCGGATCTGTTTTAGAAAGTAAAGTTTGCTTTTTTTGTGTTTCATTTTGCTTTTTAACCAAGTCATGGATTGTTCTACTTACTCTGTAGTATGTGTGTATACTAGAACTGTTTGCTATGCCAGAAACCAGACCTTGGGCTAAAATTTATTTTTGCTTCACAAATTTTTAATAATGAAATAAAATAAGTATGGAGAAAAACAGCTAGCCTTAATTTTTTATCTAGTTATCATTTGTATATGGAGAACAAATATATTATTTATTTTAGTTAAGCCTGATAATTAACATATAGTTACACAATAATTTCATTAATATAAATATAAGAGAATTAATGAGTTTACTATCTGCTTATTAACACTGCCTTTATAATTTATTTAGGTGGATATTCTAATATGAATTATATCAGTTTTATTTTTTATACTGATGAGTTAATATTTTAAAACTATATTTAAATGCTTGAAATTACAAATTATATATTTATGTATCTGATACTGCCTAAACATACATGTAAAGTTATAATAATATATCCTTAATGGCAAATTTTTATATGAGTAATGACTAATGTTCTCATTGAGGCCTTCTTTCTGTAAAATTACCAAGTTGTCTAATGATCAGGTTAGTAGAGCTTTCTTTTGTCACCCAATTATTCTGTTAACTCTCATTGCTTTTTAGTATGCTTCAAGAAAATTAAAAAAAAAACTCTTGAATTAAAATGTTAGGTTCCTCATAATAAATTTTTTATTGCTGCTTATTTTCATTACGTTACCAATAATTATTTCTCTTCAAATAGTTATGAGATAAATGTTGATTTTGTCTTTCCCAAATTCTTAACAATAAACTCTGTTAAGATCTTTCATGCTTAAACTATCTTTGAGTTTCATAAAATGACCATTAGAAAATACAGAGATTTACTTCACTGCCATAATAAAAAGAACAAAAATAATTATGTTTATCTAAAAATTTTCCAAATTGTAATAAAATGCAAAACTGTTATGTAAATGTTGGCCTAGCAAAAGTTGAAGAACACCAGAAAAATCAAAAGAAGAGTTTATTCTCAGCAAACTATCGCAAGGACAAAAAATCAAACACCGCATGTTCTCACTCGTAGGTGGGAACTGAACAATGAGAACACACGGACACAGGAAGGGGAACATCACATACTAGGGAACGTTGTGGGGTGGGGGGAGCGGGGAGGGATAGCATTAGGAGATATACCTAATGCTAAATGACGAGTTAATGGGTGCAGCACACCAACATGGCACATGTATACATATGTAACAAACCTGCACGTTGTGCACATGTACCCTAAAACTTAAAGTATAATAATAATAAAAAATGAAGAGTTTATCTTTTCAGATTAGTGATTGGCATAGTGAAAAATACATGTTTCAATGATTTGCGTAGTTGTCATGCATACTCAAAATTATGTCTAAGCACAAAGACTATTACTTTACCTGTCTGCTTAAAGATTATTTTTCCAGCAATCTCAATTAGGATGCAACATAAGAGTTGTATTTGGCAGTTCTTACATTGCTATAAAGAAATATCAGAGACTGAGTAAGTTATAAAGAAAAGAGGTTTAATTTGCTCATAGTTAAGCAGGCTTTATTGGAGGTCGACCTCCTCATGAAGGGGCCTGGCCCAAGCCCATTCATGAGGGCTTCTCTCCCATGATACAAACACCTCCCATGGGGCCCTCCAATACTGGGGAGTACATTTCAACGTGAGATTCGGGTGAAGACAAATGTCCAAACTATATCAAGAGCGAAGGTAAAATCAAGGATATAACTCCTATGTCTTAAAAAAAAAATCTTTGAAATGAATAGTTACTCTAGCAATCTTTTCAGTTAAATAAATGGTCTAGGTAGAAGAATCACAACGTGTCATCCCATGAAAACCTGACAAGCTCAAAGTACTTCTAATTAAGTTGAGAGAGAAAAAGAGATCCTCAAATGGATTATGGGTGTGACTATTTGCAGATGATGCCGAGTGGACTAAAATAAACACCAACATGTTTAAAGAATTCTATTATTAACACCTTTCATTTGAGTTAAAAGAGATGCTGACTCCGAAATGTAAAATAACCCTAGAGACCTCAAACTTCTTTGGCAGGGAACAAGCAAAAGTAGCAATTCAACTACCAAGGAAGGTATATTCCCCAACTCCCTTTTCAAATCTAGTCCAAAAGGATAATGGAAAATAAAGGACTTAATGTGTGGAGTCAAAAATTATGAATAATGGACTGACTACATAAACTCAGGGGACAGGAGGAAGAAGCTTCAGTCAAAAATTAAATTCTAACTGAATAGAGTGACACTGCAACATTTGTCCCTCTACCTGGATTTCAAAATTTCCATGAACCAGGGGTTGTCTATGTGCACCCTGTTACTCATCTTTCTTAATATGAAAATGCATTATAGTCATATTGTCTCTCTCTTCCACTATGGAGGGTTTTGTGTGTTTGAGAGATTGTAACACAATTCATTTGTTTTTTATTTAGTTCTTAGTTTTCTGGATCAAGAGACACCAGATCCAGAAATGAATTAAATCCTGACTTAAGCCACAACTTTTCTTTTAAGCTTGGTGCTGTGATTGAAGGAGATCATATGGAGATGTATTTAAAAAAAAGGTAAGCATATTTTATGTACAAGAAAGAGGAAATTATTTGAGAGCAATAGACTATAGTAAATGGTAATATTTGCTTATAATTTTCATTTCTTCATCCTTGCCATGCTACCTTTGACTCCATTGACTTTGTGCTGGGACGTGTGATCTGCTTAGGCCAACAGAATAAGCTTAAGCGATAATGTGAGAGTTGCAAGCAAAAGCTTTAAGAGACACTGCATATTTGTGCTACTCTAATTTGCTCCTTTGCCGTGGCTACAAACAAGTTTTTAGTGTATATATGTATTCGCTCATATCATCCTGAATGCAAAAATAATATTTCTGCAGCAATGACATATTATTATAATTTACTGCAATAACTAAAGCAGTTCAGTACACCCCAATTCTTCTCCCTTCTGGGGTGATATATGAATGCCAGATGGTTAAACCAGCATGTATCGTGTGGGTTTCTTGCACCACAGGGGTGAAACTGTGCAATAATGAATCTGGCAGTTTATATAGTAATGGATCAGCAGTCCCCTGTCTCCTTCTGACAGAAGGAGAGCAATCTTTGCTCCCTAGTCATTTACTATCTTTTGGAATATAAACCACTGACCCCATGGCTTTGAGTTTCATACCCCTCCGTTGAAATGTAAACTTACACTTCAAGGAAAAAAACTTCCTCACTACCTATTCAATCATTTTTTAAATGTCAAGGCTTATATATGTAAAAAACCTGCACATTGTGCACATGTACTGTAAAACTTAAAATATAATAAAAAAAAGTCAAGGCTTGTCTTTTAATCCAGATCCCATTCTTTTGCTCTGAAAAGCTAAGCAGAATTATCCTTTTCTTTCCTTCTTTTCTAGACTTTTTCCTTGCAGCCTGGGTTTGGGAAAAGAGTAGACATGTAAAGCCAAAACAAAACCCAATGGAGCTCATTGAATCCAGTGGGTATGAAGTTGTCCACAAACTTCATGTTACAGAAATAATGATTTGTTTTAAAGCCATGAGATATTAGGCTGCTTTATCTGCACCATAAAACAATTGAAGCTGAAAGTTTACATTGTCAAACTCTTTGATTACTCTAAAAACCAAAATTGTGGTTGAGTTTTGTCAAAGAAAACCAAAGCTAGACGGTGATAGAAACTGTCTACAGACACAGCTAGAAAGTGTGAAGAATAGATTGTATTTGGTACTATTGCAGTAGGGGGAAAGAGACCTCAGGATAGAATGAGGCTCAATTCTGAATACAATAAAGAAAAGTGGGGTGCATGTGGGATTCATGCCTGTAATTTTAGCACTGGGTGTGCTGGGTTTATACCTGTAGTCCCAGCTACTCAGGAGACTAGATGGAACTAGCAGGAGGATAGCTTGAACCCAGGAGGTCAAGGCTGCAGTGAGCCATAATTATTCTACTTCATTCCAGCTTGGGTGACAGAGGAAGATTCTGTCTCAAAAAAAGAAAAGAAAAGTGAAACTCTATAACCAAGAAGAAAGATCTGAGCATCAGGGGACAGGAAAATTTATTAAGAGAGTAGGTAACTGACCTAACAGGATTCTCATGGAAGGCAGTCCAGTATGATCAGGTATCAATCTGAGGATGGTGGGGCATTAGTAGGGAAGCTGGCCAAATATTGAGGATAATCAGATATCGAGGGTGGGGAATTGTTGCTAAACCAACTTAACAGGATTCTTGCTAAAGTTGTGCTAATATTCTACAATCGTGTGATGTCTTTTGAACATGGAAATACAAAAGTCAAACCTTAGTTGAGAAGAGGAGTCACAGAAGCCTGACTAAAGTTTGCTCAAGGAGAGTCTCTGTCAATTATGAGATACTTTTGTAAGTATAGAATAGTCTTTGTCCCCTAGTACTGCTGTAGAACAGTCTATTGCTTGGAGCAGAATGCATCAAAAATATGCCAAAATATTTAATTGGGCTGAGTAAACATTTGACTATGAATCCAAAATTATACTGTAATAAGAACTTAGATAAAATGGACATAAAAGATAAAGTTTTCTTAATTACTCCTAATTTTAAAAATATCTTTTGAATTTCTAAATATTTTAATGTACTTGCCTAAGACCTTATAACACAGCCTGCTTTATGAGAAGTAAAAAAATAACTGACATGAAACTGAGAGAAGGGACTTCTTTGTATGTTTTATGCTTGACAGTCCCCTTCCATGTGACACATCCATTTCATTTTTCATACAGAAATGATGTGTTTTCCCTTGAGGGAATATTTCCTGTGAATGATCAGTCAAGAAGAGGACAGCTTGAAGTCTGCTGCTGGTCTTTGAGTATAAGTTGGTGGATGATGGAAATTCTTAATTAAAGCAAAAGAAAAAAAAAAACCATGATTTAGAAAATATTGTTCTGAGGAAATAAGAAAAACAGGAGACGGAATTTCAATAATCCCCCACCCATCTATAACAAGAAGTGCTATAATGTTCAAAAGGAAAGGAAAAAAAAACACAAAAACTTTAAAAATAACCCTCATGCTTTCACAATCTTAAATTATGAGTTTAGGTTATAATTTACTAACATTATGATGAGAATAATTTATATATCATTTCTAAACATTTATTCTATGTCTATGAAAATAGATGATAATTACTATTTTAAGGTTTTTCTTGTAATTATATGAGAACATCCATCTGAAAATATCTTGTAAAAAGTACCCAATATTAATTTACTTAAATTTTTTTCTTCACTTATCTGCTTTAATATTTTCTTATATGTTATCATAAGTTGTGCCATATTACCAGAAGTTGCATGCTTTTATATAAACTAAACAATTTGTAATATAGACCACATACAGTGAAGATATTTTTAGGCCTATTTTTTAGCCTTCTTGTATATTTTTTGAGCAATTTACTTAGATTCTCAAGCTTTAGTTTCCTACACATTTTAAGCTATTAAATAATTGATTTAGGAGTTAAGAAATTACTTAGGCAGATAGTGAGGGTATGGGAGTCCTCAGTAAGGTTTTCCTTTTTAATGAATAGCAGCCTCAAAATCATTTTCTAACAAACAGCAGCCTGTAAAATCGAGCTGCAGCAATAGATGAGCAAGATGGAAGCTTACAGGGGTGAATAAGAGCAGGAAAAAGCTACTTGGGACTAGACAAGTTCAAAATGGCAGCTCCATCTTCCCTTCCCTTTGCCAGCCACGTATACAGTAAGGAGCAGACAAGATGGCACCTGTCAAGTGGAAAGCCTATTTGCATAATAAGATTAGGGAGGGGTGGCCAGCCTTCCCCATCCTATGGAAATGTCACACCTGATAGAGCCAATCTGTGGGCCCTAGAACCAATCTGTGGGCCCTACATAAATCAGACACTGCCTCCTCAAGCCTGACTATAAAATCTGGCGAACTCTGCCACTGGCTGGCCTTTCCTTTCAGAAACCACTAGAGGGAGAGCTGTTCTCCTCTCTCTTTCTTTCGCCTATTAAACCTCTGTTCCTAAACTCCTCCTAAGTGTTGGTGTCCTAAATCTTCCTGGCACCAGACAACGAACCTTGGGTATTTACCTCAGACAATGAAGCTGTTTCACAATGACAAAATAATGAACTCTAATATGGGTATAAAGTAGAAAATAATCAGTTGAATAACTAAAAGTTACCAAATATTTAGTTTTGCAAATAAAATATTTTCACAAAGATGGAAATTAAATCTAACACAAGTTAGTGAAGGTAAGGAGAAAAAATGCAAGGAACGCTATTTTAATAAATAATGCAAATTAGTCTGTTAATTCTTAAAAATAAAATGTTAAAAACACAAAGTCTCAGTAATATTTTAAGTTATAAGAAGCAAATTAAAAGCTATATGTGTGTGTATGTATGTATATATGACAAATAAAAATATAGTAAAAGGTATACTCTCAATATTAATCAATAAGAATGTGAATCAGCAATTTTAATATCAGTGAAAACGTAATTTGAGGAATAATCACCATGGACATCATAAGGTAAACTTCCTCTCCAGGAGAAAAAACTGGTTGACTTAAAAAAATACTAATCTTGGAACACATTTGCACTAAATGTGATACATAGGTTACATAACAGAAAGCTCACCTGTTTAAAGTATACAATTCAACCAAATCCTATATAATATAGCAAAAGCTATTTTAAACTTTAAAAAGGAAGTTTATAGCAGTAAATGCTTATATCAAGAAAAAAGGAAGACCTCAAATAAACAACCTAACATTGCACCTCAAGTAAGTGGAAAAACAAGAATAAACTAAGCCCAAAGTTAGTAAACTGAAGGAAATAATTTAGATTACAGAAGAAATAAGTGAAATGGAGATTACAAAAAACACAAAAGATCAACAAAACAAGGAAATTCAATGAAATCCAAAAGAAAGTTAAAATCTTATATATTTTAATTATACTATAAGTTCTAGGGTACATGTGCACAACGTGCAGGTTTGTTACATATGTATACATGGGCCATATTGGTGTGCTGCACCCTTTAACTCATCATTTACATTAGGGTCTAACACCAATAAACCAAACAAATTATTTATGATTTTAAAGCCAACATAGCCGTATTAAGAAAGAACCAGACAGAATTTATGGAATTGAAAAACTCACAACAGAAATTTCAAAATACAACTGGAAGCCTAAACAGACTAGGTCAAGCAGAAGAAAGAATTTCAGAGCTCAAACACTCAACCTTCAAATTAACCCAGTCAGACAAAAATAAAGAAAAAATAACAAAAAATAATGAACAAATCCTTCAAGATATGGTATTCTATAAAGCAACCAAATCTATGGCTTACTGACATTTCTGAGAAAAAAGGAGAGTAAGTAAGCAACTTGGAAAACATATTTAAGGATATAATTTAGCAAAATTTTTCCAATCTTGCTAGAGAGTTTAACATACAGATGCAAGAAATCCAGGTAACTTCTGTGAAATACTATACAAGATGACCATCCCCAAGGCTCATGGTAATCAATCCAAGGTCAACACAAAAGAATAAATCTTAACGGTAGCTAGAGAAAAGGGTCTTATTACCTATAAAAGGAAACTTAGCAGACTAACAGCAGACTTCTCAGCAGAAATCTTGCAAGCCAGAAGAGACTGGGAGCCCAGTTTTAAACAAAAGAACTACCACGCAAAGATTTCATGTCTCACCAAGCTAAGTTGCAAAGAAGAAGTAAAATCTTTAGCAAATAAGCAATCACTAATGGAATTCATCACCAAATGACTGACCCTAGGAGAGATGGTTAAGAGTTTTAAACATGGAAAGAAAAGAATGATACTTGCCGCTACAAAAAAACACACAAATGTGGAACCAATTGATCCCATAAAGCAACTACACAATTGAGACAACAAAGCAACTAAGTAAACACACAACAGGAACAAAACTTCAGATATCAATATTAATATTGAACATAAATGGCCTAAATCCTCAATTTAAAAGACATGGAGCAGCATATTAGATTTAAAAAAAAATACCCATTCATCTGTTGCCTTCAAGAAACCCACCTCACATGTAACAACACCCATATGCTCAAAGTAAAGCAATAGAGAAAGATGTATCACAAAAATGGGAAATAAAAAAGAGCAGGGATCACTATTCTTGTATCAAATAAAATAGACATTAAACCAACAACAGTAAAAAAGGACAAAGAAGGGCATTACATAATAGTAAAAATTCAAGAAGACTTAACTATCCAAAATATATACACATCAAACATTGGATCACCCAGATTTATAAAACAATTACTTCTAGAACTAAAGAAATAATTTGACAGCCACACGATGACAGCAGAGACTTCAAACCTTAATGACAACATTAGACAGATAACAGAGGCAGAAACAAAGAAATTCTGGACTTAATTTCAACACTGGACCAACTGGGTCCAGTAGACATCTAAAGAATACTCTACCCAACCACAGAATGTATTTTCTCGTTCGCACATGAAACATACTCTAAGATTTATGCTCAGTCATAAAGCAAGTCTCTGTAAATTAAAAAAAAAGTATACCAATCATCTCTCAGACCACAATGAAATAGAAATTAATACCAGAAAGAAATCTTAAGCCACACAAATTTATAAAAACTAAACAATTTGCTGCTGCCTAGGTCAATGTCTAGAATATTTCCTAAATTTTCTTCTATGATTTTTGTAGTTTGAGGTCTTACATTACATCTTTAATTCATCTTGAGTCAATTTTTGTATATGGTGAGAGGTAGGAGTCCGGCTTTACTCTTCTGCCTATGGCTAGACAGTTTTCCCCACACCACTTATTGAATAGGGTATCCTTTTTGCATCACTTATTGTTGTTGACTTTGTCAAAGATCAGCTGGAAGACATAGGGGAAAAACTATATCACATTAGTTTGGACAATAATTTTTGGGATATAAATCCCAAAGCACAGACAACAAAAGCAAAAATAAAGTGGATTACATAAAACTAAAAAGCTTTTGGACAGCAAAGGAAACAATAAGCAAGGTGAAGAGACAATATACAGAATAAGTTGTAACAATATTTGCAAACCATATATCTGATAAGAGGCTAACATCCAGCTTATATAAAGAACTTAAAGAACTCAATAGCAAGAAAACAATGTTAGTTGAAATAGCAAGGCACAGAACTATATAAAGTAAAAACTGTCAGAACTAATATTTCTTCATAGAAAATATAATATTTCTTTAGAACAAACATAACAATGATGAAGAATATAATAAAACGACTCATAAGATAAAGGTAAAATAATTTAATTATAAAAATCAATAATTATATTACAATAATTGTGCAATCTCAATTACAACTCCAGATGATAAATTCAAAACATATAAAGTAGGATATTGTGAAGAAACCCTTTATTTTGAAAGTAATGAGGTGATAGTAATTCTCTACCTTATAGTTGACTATAATTTTAATTATATTCGTTAAAAAGTGAAAGTTAACCACTAGAAAGATAGCAAAGAATATATTACATTCAAAATACTACATAAAAATTATAAATCCAACTAAAGAAAAACATAATAGTAAAGCAAAAATATTCAATATTTACTTTTAATAAAAAGAGAAATTATAAATTAAGAAAGATTAAAAAGGCCCAATTATATCAATATAAAATATAAATTAAGAGCATTTTGTGTAATACTATTTGTATTAAATCACAATGTTTAAGGTGGTAATTAGGTTTTTAAACATCTGTTTTGAAGTATTTTTACATTCAATATTTAATTTTTCTCTTAATAGTTTCTTTTTTATGCTATATAAGAAAATTATAAAGATGGTATAATGGGTGCTCATAAACAAGTCCTGTACATTCAGAAAATGCTGTCTGGACCATTCATTTGGATTAGATGACACATTTTAAAATCTTGAATAAATTATCTTTATTGTATTAATTAGTTATAAGCTCAGCGTTCTCAAAATATAGACATGTACACAAGAAATATACTAATGTCATCTAGTATTACACTGAAAATTAAAGGGATTAAAAATATATGAAATATATAACATTATATTTAGTTATTTAATATAATTATATTTAACATAATATATTACATATTTTAAAAGCATTAGTATTTCACTGGAACCTATAGCAGAACAGTTAACATTGTCATTTCTGAAAAGTTTGTGAATCCCCTGCTGTGCCAAGTCAGCAAAGTCACTTCTTTAGTGGCTAAATTTTGGCAAGACATCTCCACATGGAGATTTCCAATTATAGAAATGGTGGACTGACTTATTTAAATTCACAGCAGAGAGTAAAGAACTGTACAAAATTTTTCAAAAATGAATAAAGCATTTGAAAGCTACCAAAGGAGAAAAAACTCTCAATGAGTAAGAATCAGGGCAAAGGATAATCTGTAAAGGTAAGATCAACAACTGGCACTTCTTTTGAGGCACTTGCCAACTATAAAGCCGAAAGTGAGAGGCTGAGAAGCTGAATGCAGTTGCCAATAATTGCATGGGGACCTTTACCTTTTCTTGTCTATAGTCCATGAAAAAATTTTAGTATTACAAATACCATTCACTCACAATGTTTTTTCCCAGGAAAGTTCTCTTTGTCGGCCATATCATAAGCTGTATCCTAGGTAGATAATTTAATATTGGCTAGATTATTTAATGCCACACCTTTATTATTATTTCTGTTTTTCTCAGTTTTTGGATTTTTCAGGATCATCTTGATAGAAGAAAAGGCTGAAAATGATATTCCAATTTATTACTGCATTTGTCTTGGGGCACTTTTTTATTGAAATGACTTAAATCTATTGGGAAGTAGAAACTATGGGTTTGATGAAGATGCAGCCCACACATCTCTGATCAAACCTTTGACTCTTACTATCACTGTCAAAATAAACTGATGTGAATTATGGAAAAAGAGAGTTATCATTTTTAACTGCTAAGAGTCCAAGAAGAGACCTAACACACAACCAGGTTTTCAGTTGGTAATTGTGAAGGACTACACACAGGATATGAGGATGAACTTGTAAGGGACCAGCCCTCATGATGACTGAAACCACGATTTGAATCCGTTCACTACCCAATTGGATTAGTTCTGCCTCCAACAAAGTTGCTTTCTTTGAGAAAAAGTACATTATCTCTGAAGAAAGATAGCAGCAACTATGACCTTAAGTTATGCTTAAATACTTAAATTTATTTCTATGCAATGCCCAGCACTGAATCAAAAGTAACCAAGCATATGAAGAGAGAGTCATATAACAAAAATAAAGAGGAATAAAAGATGATGTCACCCCCACCCCCCCAAAACCAGGGTTCATTAACTTGACAAACATTCATGAGAATGCAGGTTTTGATCAATTGGAGTTTTATTACTTGTTAAAAGTAAGAAGAACACCAAGAATATTCTCCAAAGCAGTGTCTCCTCAAGAGAGAGTGACAAGAGGGCTTTATGGGGCAATGGAGAGGGTACATTATCTTATGTAAAGGAGGGGTCCCTGTAGCACAAACTCAGGGAGTCACCCTGCCACCCTGTGGGTTGCATGTCATGGAAATGAAGCTACAGATCCTTCCAGGGTGGAGATGTTAGCATGGTAATGAGAAAAGTTCACTGGGCTTCACTTGTAAGTTACTGAGGTCTGTCGGGAACTGGTTTCAACCAGTAGGTGATTGCACATCACACAGATATTGCAAAAAACAGGCTGTAAGATAGAAAACTATAAAGCAGGCAGATTGCTCAAGCCAGTTGAATTCCTATAGTCCCTGGAAACCCTCTCTATTTACCGTGGTAGACAGACACTAAAGGAGATTCAGATTTAGATTAATTAGCCATAAATTTTAACAGAACTATGATAAACATGTATTCAAAATGTGACAATATTGTATGAAGAATGTGAAGAAATAGCTGGACAGAATTACAAAAGGAAAGTAAGTACTTCTAGAACTGAAAAATACAAAAACTAAAATTAAGAATGTAACAAAAGCAACCTGAGTCTTATCTGAGAGAAATAGTGAACTGGAAGATGAGTCAGAAAAACATACAGAAATACAGCATGAAGAAAACAAAGAAAAGGAAGATGAGGAAAAATATTTATGTGATACGGGGACTCAGTGAGCTGGCTAAATTGATGAATATTTTGAGAACCAGAAGGAGAAAAGAGGTTGGCAGAAACAATATTTGAAGACGTAAAGTTTGAAAATTTTTCAAAAGTGACAAAAATGTATCAGTGACCCAAGAATCATTATGAATTTCAAGTAGGATAAATAAAAAGAAAACTATGCTGCCAAGCTACCTCCAACACCGCCCTCCACCAACTAAAACACACACACACACACACACACACACACACACACACACACACACCGGTTACAAACCAAATACAAAAAAAGAAATCTTAAAATTAACTAGTGAAGGTAAGCCATATTACCTTCAACGAGGCAGAGAAAGCATATAATAAAACTTGACTTCCATTCACAATTTAAAACGTTATTAAATCTGGGATAATAAAAACTTTTCTAACCCTAATAAAGGCTGTATACCAAAATACTGTACAAAAGATAAGTACATAATTAGATATATGGTAAAATTTTGAAAAACTCTAATTCTATGATTTAGATAATATGGTAGTTATAATAAATGGAAGTAAACAAATTGGTTAAATATTTGGAGAAAATAGAATTCCCGTCATAATAACCACAAAAAATCAGTTCCAGATACACTGGATACACAAAAATTAAGGTAAAATCAGAAAGACAAGAGTATAATATAATTGTGTACCTGTATTATGTATAGTTCTTAAATATTTCTTTGAAAGTTTACAATAATCACTAACCATAACAGAAATGGTTAATTAGACTCCACTAAACTGAGAATTTCTGTTTACCAAAAGCAATTCATAAGAGAGTAAAAAACAAGCTGTAGAATATTTTTTATCTCTGTAGGATCAACATTTGCAGCAACATGGACGGAACTGAAGGTCACTATGTGAAGTTAAATAAGCCAGGCACAGAAAGACAGGGTATCACATGTACTCACTCATATGTGGGAAGGTAAAAAAGTTGGCTGCCAAGAATAGTGGGGAGAGAGGGATGAAGAGGGATTCATTAATGGGTACAGACATGCAGTTAGATAGATGGCAGAAGTTTAGCATTTGATAGCACAGTGGGATGACTGTAGTTAACAATAATTTCTTGTCTGTTTCAAAAATAGCTAGAAAAGAAAAAATTGGGAAGTTCCCAACACAAAGAAATTATAAATATTTGAGGTGATGAATATTTCAATTACCCTGATTTGTTCATTGAACACTGTATGCATGTATCAAAATGTCACATTTACCTCATAAATATATACAATTATTATGTACCAATAAAAGAGAGTAGCAGAAGATATGTTTAACATATTGCCAAATAATTTGAATTTGTAAGATATATAAAAGAAAAAATAAACAGAATAAAAGAACAAGCAACGTAAACATGATTTCACAAAGGAAGCTATCCAACTGGCCAATGAATACATTAAATGTATTTAACCTTATTAGCCTTCAAAAAAAGTAAAAAATACCACTATACTCCTGAAAAACAATGACTAAATGACTAAAGTGTAAAAGGCCAACAGTACTAAATATTGTCAAAGATTTGGATTAAGTGAAACACTGATATACTGCTTGTGAGATATTAACAGAAAAATCCCTTTTTAAAATTGTCTGTCACTATCTAATAAAGCTAAATACACACAATCTATGATCCTTAATTTTCACTGTAAGAAATTTAGCAAATATAAGCAGCAAGAAACATGAAAGGAATATTCATAACAATAGGAAAGTTAAAGGCCTTAAAATGGAAGTAACACAAATATTCATCAATAGTGGAATGAATAATTTGAGCACCATTCTTATAATAGAAAACATTATGACAATGAAATGATGATAAACTTCAAAAATAAAAATGGTGACTGCAAGAGACCAGATACACACGAAGACAAATGTTACGATTCCCTTTACATAAAGTCTACAAACAAGGTAAACTAATCTGGCACTAGAAGTCAAGATGATAGTTACTCCTCAGGAAACGCGTGGGAATATTTCATGGGGTTACACGAGGAAGCATCTGGAATGCCCTACTATATATGCCTGGATCTTGGTGAAGTTGCACAGGTGTGTTTACTTTAAGATCTTTTGTGCATTTGTGTATTCATGATTTGTTCTACTTTCTTATTGCCTTTTATACTTCACTAAGTTTTTTAAAAAATAAAACCCAAGAGCATTCCCAGAGGGTGGTTTACCATGGTCAAAGCAGCATGTGGTTCACAGGAAATAGATTCCTACCATGAGTTTTTGAAGCATTTCAATATTTTAATATCCAGTACACTCATACTGTTGTATACGGCTTGAATGTCAGTTCTGGCTGTGCATGAGGAAGCCTGTTCAGAATTGCCAAGTAAAGCTCTGGGCTGGAATTTAGCGCTACTTCAAGCAGGAATTATCAACAAACGAGAAGTAAGAAGTCTTTAGCCAGTTCACAATCTAAAGAGCTATGTCTAAACTCCCAGGATCTTAATGTTAATTTATATTTTGTGGTGAGGCAGAGAAGCTTTGTGATTTTTTTTTTGTCCTTAATAATAGGAGTATTATTTGGGAGTAGTAGGTTGTTTAAATGTTACATACATTTCTGAAGGGCAGTGAGAAAAAATTTCTTATCTTCTGATTTTCACAGTCTATGCTTTGTTGAGGAAAAAAGAATCCTTCTGGTAACAGAAAAATAGTCATTTTATTTTTTCAGAGTAGCACTGCAGATTTTGTTTTATCTTTTCTGGAAAGAAAAAGTAATATTTATAATCTTAGAACTGAAGGAATTTCAAACTTCCATTTTGTCTGATAGGATATTATCAGCCAAACCATCCCATAAACAACAAAGGTAACAACTATAAGCTATTAACAAAATGAAAAGAAAACAAAACAACAGCAAATATCTGACCTCACTGGAAAGCAACCAAATACCGGCAGATTCTAGAGGGAGTTTAAGTTTGGAATAAGAGAATGGTATTGAGTGTTCCACTACTCATGGCTTCTAGCCTGAGGTCTGCAGTCTTCACCATGCCACATGGTTAAAATGTCAATTAAAAAATTCATAGTATTTTTGACCTGAAAAGCCATTGCAAAGAGTTGAAGCCAACCACATCCATTGAAAATTGGATGGGTAAGGAGTTCTGGAAAGGAGAGAAAAAAGGACAAGTGTTCTGAAGTTTGTGAATACATTCTGTCAAAATCCACAAAATTTGACTAACTCCTGTACCACAAATGTTTGGCTTCAAGCTGCCCATCTGTAAACAAACTGAACTGAGATTTGAGCCACTTCTCACAAGGCTGCTGACAGTTTCAGTCCTACCCATCTGATTGACTGTGAAGGAAGGGAGGAAGGGAGGAAAAAAGGGATGGAGGGAGGGAGGGAAAAAAGCAGGCTCTTTGAAGGAATAGTAACAGAATTCAGAGACTCCAAACATAACCTCACAGTGTCTAGGATATAATACAAAATTTCTCAACATTCAAAGAAAGAGGAAAGTGTGACATCCTCAAGTTAAATGACAACCAATGGAGGCTAAACTTACGATATCCCAGATGTTGGAATTAGTAGATTAGTGGTTATTATCACTATACTCAAGGAAAAAATATTAATTGCAAATGAGAAGTTAAAAAAATACTAACAGAAAAATAGACTCCAAAATAGTTGAAATGTTGCAACTGAAAATTCCAATTTCTGATATAAAAACATTTGCTAGATAGGCTAAAAGCAGAATGGAGATGACACTGAAGAAAATAATCCGCAAACATGTAGATTTGTTAATAAAAATGTGGAAAATTCAAACAGAACCTCAGTAATTTATGGAAACACACACACACACACACACACACACACACACACACACACACACACAAAGCTACATAGAACCTGCATGGAGCAATAGCTAAGTGAAAAATTGGGGGAATTTTCTTTTAATATGGTTGAGATATTTGCAATATGTTGAAGACATAAACTTGCAGATATTTCAAGGGAAGTGAACCCTTTTTTATTTAAATTTTATCTTAAGTTCAATGGTACATGTGCAGGTTTGTTATATAAGTAAACTTGTATCTCAGGAGTTTGTTGTACAGATTATTTTGTTACTTAGATATTAAGCCTAGTACCCATTAGCTATTTTTCTTGATCCTCTCCCTCCTCCCACCCTCCACCCTCCAATAGGCCCCAGGTGTGTGTCGTTCCTCTCTATGTGTCCATGTGTTCTCATTGTTTAGCTTCCATATACAAATGATCACCTGCGGTAGTTGGTTTTCTGTTCCTGTGTTGGTTTGCTAAGTATAATGGCCTCCAGCTTCATCCATGTTTCTGCAAATCACATGATCTTATTTTTTATGGCTGCATAGTATTCTATAATGTATACGTACCACATTTTCTTTATCCAGTCTACCACTGATGATCATTTAGGTTGATTTCATGTCTTTGCTATTGTGAATAGTGCTACAATGAACATACACATGCATGTGTCTTTATACTAGTACGATTTATTTTCCTTTGGGTATATACCCAGTAATAGGATTGCTGGGTTGAATGGTATTACTGTTTTTATGTCTTTGAGGAATCACACTGTCTTCCACAATGAGTGAACTAATTTACACTCCCACCAACAGTATATAAGCATTTTTTTTCCACAGCCTCGCCAACATCTGTTATTTTGTTGACTTTACAATAATAGATGATATAATAGATATCTCATTGTGGTTTCAATTTGCATTTCTCTAATGATCAATGATGTTGAGCTTTTTTTCATATAATTGTTGGCTGCATGTATGCTTTCTTTTGAAAAATGTCTGTTTATGTCCTTTGCCCACTTTTTTTTAACAGGTTTGTTTTTTCTTGTAAATTTTTTAAGTTTCTTATAAATACTGGATATTAGACCCTTGTCAGATGCATAGTTTGCAAAAATTTTCTCCCGTTCTGTAGGTTGTCTATTCACTCTGTTGATAGTTTCCCTTGCTGTGCAGAAGCGGTTTAATTAGATCCCATTTGTCGATTTTTGTTTTGTTGCAATTGCTTTTGGTGTCGTATGAAATTTTTGCCTGTTCCTATGTCCAGAATGCCTAGGTTGTCTTTCAGGGTTTTATAGTTATAGGTTTTATATCTAAGTCTTTAATCCATCTTGAGTTGATTTTGTATATGGTGTAAGGAAAGGGTTCAGTTTTAATCTGCATATGGCTAGCCATTTATCATAGCAACATTTGTTGAATAGGTGATCCTTCCCATATTGCTTGTTTTTGTCAGGTTTGTCAAAGATTAGATGGTTTTAGGTGTGTGGCCTTACTTCTGAGTTCTCTATTCTGTTCCACAGGTCTATGTGTCTCTTTTTATACCAGTAACCTGCTGTTTTGATTAATATGCCCTGTAGAATAATATGAAGTTTGGTAGCATGATGCCTCCAGCTTTGTTCTTTCTGCTTAGGATTGTCTTTGCTGTTTGGGCTGTTTTTTGAAATACAAAGAAAACCACACTTAAGCACACTATAGTCAATCTACTGTAAACAAAGATTAAGAGAATATATAATGACATGCAAAAGAACAATGCTACAAATACATAAACTGCTGACTCCTGTTCAGAAAAATGGAGGACATAAGGAAGCGGAACAAGTTTTAAATGCTGAAGTGTGAGGGAGGGTGGGGACAATGACAATCTAGACCAGCAAAAGCATTCTTTAAAAATGAATATGAAATTTTAAAAAAATTCAAAAAATATAGAGCATAAAGAATTTACTGATATCAGACCTTCACTGGAAAAATACTAGAAAATACTCTGCTTTGAAGGAATAAAATGAACAGAAAATGATAAATATTTTAAGGTAATAATCATACTTTAAAGCGTTTTTAAACTCAGTTAGATCTTAATGGCTGATAATGCACTCAATTGCTATTTGTTTAGTTCTTAACATTGAACTTATGACCAGGCATCTGTGTATCTATCTGAAATGTAAGCTTATGTAAAATAAGGAACTATTTTTAATTTACCTGTATGTTTCTCAGTATGTTACATAGTTTCTGCTCTATGGCATATAATGCCTGTTAGAATTTTGACATGTTTCAGTCTTTATGAAGGGTTTAACACAAATTGTGTTTCCATCATAATAATCACGTGAAGTTCACATTTTTTCCTGTATAAATGAAAACTTAGACAGTGACAAGCGCAAGGTTACTCCATATAGAAGTGCGTAAACGTTTGAGTCTGAGTTTCCACTCTATCTCTGATGATACACATCCTGATGGTATTTCTGGATTTAAAACAAATGAACAGTTAAAACATTATTATTATTCACACCAAATTTAGGTATTTAAGCAATTATTTTATGTGCAGTGGCTCACGCCTGTAACCCCGAACTTTGGGAGGCCATGGCAGGCAGATCACCTGAGGTCCAGAGTTCAAGACCAGGCTGGCCAATATGACAAAACCCCATTTCTACTGAAAATACAAAAATTAGCAAGGTGTGGCGGCAGGTGCCTGTAAGCCCAGTTACTCAGGAGGCTGAGGCAGGAGAATCAATTGAACTTGGGAGGCTGAGGTTGCAGTGAGCCGAGATTGCGCCATTGCACTCCAGCTTGGGTGACAAGAGCAGGTGCGTATCAAAAAATAATAATAATACATAAATAAACGTTATTTTAATAATTAATGGCTTTATATAACATGTAATATTTTCACTGAAGTAACTACCAATATTAGTGATTATGCATCATAGTTAAGAAATTTTGACTACTTCAAATGTATTTTGCTTCCCAAAATTATATGAAAATGGCCCTCATCATTTTGTATCCTCATGCTTCTTTATGTGGTTCTCATTAAATATTTAAAACATCCTAAATGCAATTATGCTACTTTTAATATTATTTTCTTCAAATATTAATTTAGATACATTATTAATAGGAAAGGAAATATTTGCTTTTTATTTTTGTAGTCTCATTTTAATATTACATCTCTTTAAGAGTTTCTTAGTAACATGTATAGTTCTCTATATGACTAGTACAGCGTGACTTTATATTTTGCCTGAGAAAATTAGTGTTATATTTATCCTTTCACAGCAAAATCTTGTTCAAGAACCCAGGAAATATGAAAGAAATGGGAAAACCTAAAGAATATGTCAGCCAGATACAGTGGTGCACACCTGTAGTCCCAGCTACTAAGGAGGCTGATGGGGGAGGATCACTCGAGCCCAGGAGGAGCTGGTTGCAGTAAGCCAAGACTGTGGCACTGCACTCCGGCCTGAACAACAGAGGGAGACACTGTCCTGGAGAAAAATAAAATAAAAATAAATAAAAAATAAAAAATAATAAAAAATAAAAAAACACATATCAGCCAAATGTTTTCATGTAGATCATGGACTACAGACTTCTTTGTCATCCATTAACAGCCTGTTGCACTGATTAAAAAGCATTTGTTAATAAGATAGGAAGCCCCTAATTTTCTAATTCTATGTTTAGTCTGCCAGTTGCTATCTGAAAGCCAGTTTTTTCATGTCCCTTTAAGTTCTTCAACATACATTTGCATGACCCAGAATAATTTCAGGAACATGTAAGAAGCCTAAATCCAGATATTTTTTGTAGAAGAAACCAGAATAGCTTTATTTTCAGTAATATGTGGACAGCTGATAGCCATTTTGTCTAATCTTATATAACCTGAATTAAGATGCCAATTTGTCTTTCCTTCCAGTGAATATATTCACTCATCAAGGAAGCAGCAATGCATGATTGTAGCCTCAAGAAATAAATGACTTTGGTCATGATTGGGTTTCCTTACTTGTCAAAGTGAAAAAAAAATAGACAGATAATAATGTATTAAAGATGAGCCCACAGGCAAAAGATTAGTCTGATTTGTATGTCCCTTCTCTCTGATGTCTTTTTAAGGCATTTGTAAAATGTTTTTAAAGAGGACAAGAAAACGGTAGCATTTTTGACAGATCAAAAGACAACCACATAAACTCAATACATCAACTTATTTATATCAGTTGGCTTATTTTAAACAACAGTGACTTTCTAAGAACATGGATGGACTACCCTAATGATTATATTTCCGCTTGGATGCCATTACAGATGGGAGAGAAAGTGCAAATAAAATAAAACGGTGCCTTTTTCCTCTGGACTTCCGAAAGGTTATAGTATTCTGCCAAAACCAAGGGAGAAAAGAATATTACATTTATACAGGGTAATAATAGCTAAATATCATCTGTGACAATGAGCATTACTATTTCAGGAAGAACTTGACAGCATGTAGCTACTATAAATATATGCTTTAAAAATAAACTGTATATGGGCTGCCCGATATAACTTTATATTTGAGATTGTAGCATGCATGTCCTTGCCTTTAACAGGTACACAATCTCTATATAGTAGGAATTTTACAAATTTATGCCAGAGAAAGTATGTTTGTTAAATATAATGAACAAAAAATATATTCTAGGAGGACATCTAGCAGTTAAAAATGATAACTCTTTTTTCATAATTCACATCAGTTTATTTTGACAGCTATAGTTACAGAGTCAAAGGTTTGATCAGAGATATGTGGGCTCCATCTTCCTCAAACCCATAGTTTCTACTTCCCAGTGGATTTAGTGTCATTTCAATAAAAAAGAGCCCCAAGACAAATGCAGTAATACATTGGAATATCATTTTTAGCCTTTTCTTCTATCAAGATGATCCTGAAAAATCCAGAAACTGAGAAAAACAGAAATAATAATAAAGGTGTGGCATTAAATAATCTAGCCAATATTAAATCATCTACCTAGGATACAGCTTATGATATGGCCGACAAAGAAATTTCCTAGAAAAAAAGACATAATGAGTGAATGTTATTTTTAATACTAACATTTTTTCATGGACCATAGACAAGTAAAGGTAAATGTAAAGATAATTTTACATTCCAATATATTTAATATTTTACATCCAACAATATTCACAGAATCCAACTTAATAAAGTTATCTGTTTGGTAATAAAATCAGTAATAATGAGTCAACTATTTCCATAGAGACTCAATCTTAGATATGCCAGAATTCTTATTTAATCAGGCATGACTTAGTATTTGGGGAACAAAATTCAATGAGTATCTCTCAGTAGCTTAAAAAAAAGAGTTTCTTTTCTGAGGGTCTCTGAAAAGAATATTTGCTAGAATAGTATTTTTTATGGTTTTCGAAAAAATTTATGAGTCTCCTACTCACATTAAAGAGGTGTTAAATGTTTCTTCATAGATGGATTGTCAGGCAAGAATAGCAAAAATCTTCCCAGGGGTGTCGGATAACGATGATGCAAAACAACATGATAAGACAGCCTCGGGTTTTGTTTATGACATGAAGCATAAAATCACAGAAAAGGTTATTGATTGCTTACACTGTGCAAGTTTTACAACATTCTCATAACCCTCCCCCACCACACACACACACACACACACACACACACACACACACACCAATGTTTCTCAAGCTCAGCACTGTTGGTATTCTGCTGTCTGTGGGATAATTTGTTGTGTGGGGTTGCAGGCAGTGTACATTGCAAGATTTTAAGCAGTATCTAGTGACTAACTCCTTTGTCTATACCCACTAGAATTCAGTAGCACATCTCCATTCCTAGTGTGACAAAAATGAATGGGGATATTGCCAAACATTGCCTGGGAGGCAAAATTTCTTCTGGTTGAGAACCAATGACACAAACGAACTCCACACATGCACATGCACACACATTTATGTATACAAGTGCACACATACATGCACTGTCACTTATTTCCACAACCCCTAAACACCCACATACACACATGTCCACATCTTGACATCCAAACAGCCACACACATGTGCACACACACATACTGACACACCCTGCTCCACACCCCCACATATACCCACACCAATTCACATACATACACCCCATATATAAACACACACCTATAGATCCATAATACACATTAAGCGGTTATATATTATTATGTAAATCATTAAGAAATACTACCCTTTACCTTGAATAATTTGTTGCCATAAAGATAGAGTTTATCTTTATTTTCTCTTGGGATTTAGGGGTACAGTACCTCAAACTGTAAGTGCAGATCTGAATAAATATTTGTTGAATACATTAACAACTGTTTTGTTTTATATTGACATAATGTAGAGCTTATTTTTATCTTTCCTAGTCTTTGATTCCTGAAGGCCCAGAGGGGGGCGTTTAGAGTTTATTTCCACAATGTATTAGAATATATGTTTTTTTTTAAAAATAAGTACTGTACTGGGGTGTTGATTGAACCAATAAATATGAGGTTGATATGTCAGAAAACATTAGTATTAATTTAAATTTCAACAGGGATGAATGATACATGATGCTCTTGTTGAAATAAATTGCATATATAGTTCAGCATTTGTATTATTGTGATTAGAAAAATTGTGAAATCTTCTGTTAAGAAAATAAAATTGAAATTGAATTGCTAGTATGATAGACCTTTAAAGTAGGTTATATTTGCTTTAAGTAGTAAAAATTATTGAACAACTTTTTTACTCTAAAGAAACATACATTTTTATAATGTCCTGTGGAGATTTGTCCACTTGGTGATCAAGGAAATAAAATCAGGCAGAAATTATGTCCTGATTTTTTTTTTTTTTGAGACAGGGTGTTGCTCTGTCACCCAGGCTGGAGTGTAGAGAGGCAAGATCACAGCTCACTGTAGCCTCTACCACCCAGACTCAAACAGTTCTCCCACATCAGCATCACAAGTAGCTGGAGACTACAGGTGTGTACCACCACACCCAGCTAATTTTATTTATTTATTTATTTATTTATTTAGAGACGGGGTCTTGCTATGTCAGCCAGTCTGATCTGAAACCCTGGCCTCAGGCAGTCCTCTCACCTTGGCCTCCCAAAGTGCTCCCAAAATATACCATATTTTTCTTATTCATTCATTTATTAATGAACACTTAGGGTAGTTCCATATCTTGACTACTGTGAATAGATCTACAATATACAGGTCTATTACAAGCATGACCCACCATGCCTGGCCCCTGACATTTTTCAAAAGTTAATTTTTATGTTGAAATTTGCATTAATTTGATCAGTTAAAATCACATTAGTGTAATTCTCCAAGCACTGACTCATTATATTTCCTGGTTCAAAACATTATGCAAGCATAGGTTTATGTCCTCAGAGAGCATGCAATTGATTACTACATCAAGACAGTAGGTGAGCTGGGTATGGTGGTTCATGCCTGTAATCCCAGCACCTTGTGTGGGCCGAGGCAGGAGGATCACTTGAGGCCAAGAGTTTAAGACCAGTCTGGCCAACACTGTGAGACTCCTTTTCTACCAAAAATTTTAAAAGTAGCTTGCTGTGGTGGCATGTAACTGTGGTCCCTGCTGCTTTGGGGGCTGAGGCAGGAAGATCATGTGAGCCCAGGAAGTGAACTGTGATCTTCCCATTGCACTCCAGCCTGGGCTGGAACAAGATTCTGTCTCAGGAAAAAAAAAAAAAAGAAAAAAAAAAAAAGAAAAAAAAAAAGATGGTATGCTTAAGACATATAAATTTCTTCCTTTTTTCTAATTATAATTAAGTATCCTTTGACCAAAATATTTCACGTCCTCCTCCTTGCAAAACACTCCAGCTTCTGATAACCACATTATACTCTCTACTTCCATTACATGAAATTATTTTAGATTACACATGAGTGTGATTATGCAGTATTTGTCTTTTTGTGTGTGCATTATTTCACCTAACATAATGTCCCATAGATTCATTCATGTTGTAGTAAATGACAGGATTTCCTTCTTTGTTATGAGTTAATTGTATTCCATTGTGTCTTTATACCACATTTTCCTTATTAATTCACTTATTGATGAACGCTTAGGTTGGTTCTCTATTTTGACTACTGTGAATAGACCTACAATATACAGGAAAGTAAACCTATCTCTTTGGATATATATGAGACACAAAACTATGCTAAATATAAATAATATTGTCATAAAAATAACAATTTTTAGGTTCCTAAACTGTGTAATTAGATTGTGTTTTGGCATATTGCCATATGACATATATTCATGGATAAAGGGAATATAAGCTTACCTATTAGAAATGTATGAAAAGAATAAACACAACAAAATAAAAGCTTCAGAAGTAACAGAAATGTACACCCTCCAGAATGAAGCACATATTTAATTATTTAATGTTTAAAAGTAGCTAATGTTTATATATGAACAAAATTTAATTGATTTGTCCCACAGTTTCATCAAAGTCACTATGGTAGAACTACCATATGATCTTGTAGGATTACAGGATCATATGGTAGTTCTACTTTTCATTTATTGAGGTACCTGTCATAATGTTTTTCATAAAGTATGTGCAAATTTATATTCCCACCAACAGTATAAAACAGTTCCCTTTTTTCCACATTCTCACCAACACATGTTATTTTATTTTATTTTTTTGATGATACCCACTCTGATTGGGGTGAGGTGATACCTCATTGTGGTCTTGATTTTCATTTCCCAGATGATTAATGAGTTGAACATTTTTTCATATACCTGGCCATTTACACATCTTCTGAGAAATATCTGTCCATACTATACAAAGTGATCAGATTCAATGCAATCCCTATTAAAATATCAACAATGTTCTTCATACAAATAGAAAAAAGAGTTCTAAAATCCTTATGTAATGACAAAAGACCCCAAATAGCCAATTCAATCTTGAGCAAAAAGAACACTGTTGGAAGCATCTCACTAACTGATTTTAAAATATACTACAAAGACACTGTAACCAGGCAGTATGGCCATAGAATAATAACTGACACAAACAATGGAATAGAATAGAGACCCTGGCTATAAATCCATGCATTTATAGCTAACTAATTTTCAACAAAGGTACCAAGAACATACATTGAGGAAAAGACAATCTTTTCAATAAATGGTGTGGACAAAACTGCATATTCACAAGCAGAAGAGTGAAATTAGGCCCTTATCTCTCATGAAATACAAAAATCAACTCAAAACTGATTAAAGACTTAAATGTAAGACCTGAAACTGTGAAACTACTAAATAAAACAGGAAAAACACTTCATGACATTGGTCTAGGTAGGATTATTTGGATAAGATCACTAAAGCACCCACCAGCAATAAAGGCAAAAGTAAACAAATGAGATTACATCAAACTGAAAACCTGCATAGCAAAAGAAACAATCAACAGGATGAGAAGACAGTCTACAGATGAGAGGAAATATTTGCAAACTATACATCTGACAAAGAGTTAATGTACAACATACATAGAAATCCCAAAAAACCTAAATAGCAAAATAACAAGTGACTATATAAAAATGGGCAAAACATTTTATTTTTTTCTATGTGTTTACTGTTGGCTATAGAGACGTAAAAGAGAATTTTTAAAAAATCTGTATTCAAACTTATTTTAAAGTAAATTTGTTTTCACTTCAGAAAATAAATATATTGATACATCTCTCTACCTGAAACACACATAACAAAATTCATTTACACTCATATAATGGGCATCAAATAAATAATAGTATAAGGAAGTTAATTCAACCATTGAAGTATTTATTAAAACATCAAATAATTGCCTTTCATTTAAAGATTTAAGGGCAAAAGTGGGCATCCCTCACTTTAATTGAATAGGAATTCCTTTTCACACCACACAATTTTTTTAAGACTACTGCTAGGTACTCTCTCTAGTCCACAGTTTTATCTGTGACAGGTCTATATCCAGAACTATTAGCATAGACTGACACTACCCTGTCAGTTTGAAACACTGCACTTCTACTTCCATGGTCATCACCTTTTATAACAAAGAGTTTCCAGTTTTATTAGCCTCACCTCTTTCTTGGGTCATATGAACCCAATGAACTCTGGACAGGTGTTGAATATATATGGAAAGTACTACAATTTTCAGTTTGGGAGACATTTAGGGTTGTCATAAATCCTGAATTCTTCTTGGAGAAAAAAAAATTCTAGTACATAGAGCATATGGAAATTTTGTTTTAGAATGTATACGTTTGCATATATTTTATTTACTATTCACAAATATTTATATGCACAGATGTACTTTTTTATTCATTCCTTTAACTTCTTCTATGTACCAATGTGTTCAACTGCTTTTCATTTTTAAAAATAAACCAATATCATTTTAGCTATATAGATTCTCCAAATATCCTATAGCTTTTTTATAGATGCATTTCTCAGGAAGTTTCCAGATGAATTCTTATTAATAACTACTTAACTTTAAGGTAATATATTTTAATAATTGTGAAAGCTAAATAATAATTTACCAAAATTTTTACACATCATATGGTCTTTTGTAAATATGTTATTATGCTTAGGTGGTTAATTTTAGACAAGAATCTTAGAGCACATACTGAGATCTTCTTCTTCCTAAAAAATAGCTTCCATAATTAAGATTAGAGTTACTTAGGCCTTGAATGTTGTGAGGGATTTGGGTATCTCATTTTTTTTTCATGCAAAATAATAAATTATGTGTAAAAACACTTAATAAAAGACAATTTTAAATCTTGACCTTTCTTGATTTTGAATACATTGTATCGATAAGATAAAATGGGGTGTGTGTGTGCATGTATGTATAATGGAATAATATAGTTACATTAAGTAAAAATTTGGCCACTAATTGATGGTCTAATACTAGCTTTTGGCAACACTCAATACTAACTCATGATAGTAAATGACATTAACTAGTAGTTGTTGAAAATATCTGGTGTTGGTGTGTTGCATATTGTTAAGCATGCAGCTCTTAGAATCAGACTACCCATATTCAAATTATGACTGTGCCAGTTATTTGACTGTATGAGTCTTTGCATACTTCTTAACTTTCCAAAATCTCAGTTTCTGCATCTATAAAATGGGCATAACAGACCTTAACTGAAAACGTTGTTGTAAATATTAATTGAATTATTATAGGTAATATATGTAATACGTGTAGAATAATGACTGGTAGTTGGTAAGAAAAATCAATCTTTATTAAAGTTATTGTTATGAAAAAGTGATGTTAGTCATTATGATACGGCAGTCATCAGTGTAGCTTGAATGATGTTAGTTTTTTCCTATATGATTTAAATATACAGCCTAAGTGCTAAACGTTTAATTCACTATGTGCTTTAGATAGACTTCAGAAATTTTAATTCTCCTGTAAAACAACAATTTATATGAAAATATTTAAAATTCTCTCCCTTGAGAACGATTTCTTTGTAAAGAGGAAACTAAAAGGAAACTTCTAGTAACACTATCTGAAAACTTAGAAATATTCCAACATTAATTACATTTGAGATTTTCAAGTATTTTTAAAGTATGTTATTGATAAGCAACTCAATATAACAGAAATTAATTTTAAACATATTTTCATTGTATATAGGGTCAGGTTACCAAATTTTTTTGGAAAACTAGAAAGAACATCTATGATAAATCAAATTAAGTAGAAATTTCTTTATAGGTTGTTTCCATAAATAGAATGACTAATAAAAGTTTAGGTGATGGCCATTTTTTACTCGTAATTGTTTTGCATTCACATTGCTTATCTACTGGAAGTTTCCTGGATAAAAATTTCAAATTGGTTTATAGCTATTGCATCAAAAATTCTCAATAAAAGAATAACAGGTAATTGTATACTTATCATATTCATTTAGTAGATTGAGAATCTCATGTGTAGATATTAGTTGAAAGTTACACAACAGTGTTAGTGAACGTGGAATATAAAATTTCAGTAACAAGAAAATATATTATTTTTTGAATCCAAAGCAAACATTATAGACTTACATGTCTGAAGGTATCTTCTCATCAATTTATCTACCATTAAGTAATAAAAAATAAATACCAAACACATTGTGTATCAAACAATCCCTAAGAAGACCCACAATGCATCATCTTCCTCCTTGAGGGTGTGTGGAACCTTGCTTCTCAGGGATTGAATATGGCTAAGGTGATGGCATGTTACTTGCATGAATATATTTTATTATATAGAACTCCATTTTAGCAGATTGCTATAAAATATCATCTTGCTGGCTCTAAAAAAGCCAACATCAATGTTGTGAGCTGCCTAAGGAGTGGGCCATGTGACAGAGAACTGTAGGTTCAGCCATAAGAAGCCAGGACTCTTACTCATAAAACCACAAGGATTTGAATTCTGCCAATAACCTGAATAAACTTGGAATTGGAATATTCCTGTGTTGAAAACTCCAGGTGAGACCAATGCCCTGCCTGCACTTCTGCAGGCTGTGGGATTCTGATGAGAGGACTCAGGTAGGTCATGCCTGGACTCCTGACCTATAGCAACACAGTTAATACATGTGGTTTAAGCTATTAATTTTGTATAATGTGGTGTACAGCAATAAAAAATGAACACACTTGGATACAAATAACTTTGTCATTTTCATAAGAGAAACAACTCTGAAGTCACATTTTTAATCATTCCACCTGAATAGCACCTCTTGTATTCTGTTCCTGAATTCTAGACAATTCCTTCTGGCAAGTCATGACATATAGTTCTTCAATTCCATCACAACTACCAACCATTGTTTCTATTTCATCATCATTCCTCAACATTTTCAGATTCTCCCTTCCTTCTTGGCTTGTTGTGTTCCATGGCTTATCTTTATAATCACACTTCTTTCTCAATGTTCTGAAGCCTTTCTCAGTTTATCAAACTGACATTAAAACCTCAATTCTGGCATATATCAAAACATCATATTATATACCATTAATATGTACAATTTTTATTTGTCGATTATACCTTAAGAAAGCCGGGGGGAAATTTTAAAACAAAGTGAAGACTATGGGAGAAAAAAAAATAAGTCCAATCCTAAGTCAACTTACTGTAAATAAAATCATCTTATAATATTTTTCAACTTTTAAAAATCAACTCCATCTATACAGTAGAGCAGATTTAAAGATTCTGGAGTCATTTTTCACTCTGCGCTTATGCTTACACTTCACATCCAATCCATCAGCAAAACCTGTCAGTTTTGAAATAAATCCCAGCAGTAAAAATTGCTGTAGATATCTGCAGCTCTATGTCTCAAATCTGAGAAAATGTCTGCTACAATATGTCTTTCCTCAGGACGTTTACCTGGAGACTGGACACCAAACCAGCTCCTTTCTCATCCCTCAGAACTCAACTGAAGTCAGGGCTCTCTGCTGTCCTGCCTGTGAGGGAAGGTTTAGAGGTTAAGCAATATGAGTTAGGATAAAGATAAGCCACCAGGACAGTACCTTGATATCACTCTCTTCTTAGGATAGGACTATAAAGAGAAGTCATCTTGACAAAGGGATAGCCATTCCCCCACTCCCCTGCTGAGACGCAATAGAACTGTAACTAATGAGGAGCTAGAGCTATGTGCAGAAGTGGTTAAAAGCAGGGATCAACAGAGCTGAGGGCGAAATGAGCCCCTTAGGCCTGAGCACTGACAGAAACCATCAGATATACAACACAGAAGTGCTGTTTTGAAAGCAAGAAGCCAAGGGATAAAAAGCCTTCCAGATCATTCCCCACAGGTAAGGCTCCCCTGCCTTCCTGCTTGCTCCACACTAGCACCTGCTAAGAAGGGATAAACTTTATATTCCTGCAGGGACATGCACGCACACACGCACACACACACACACTCACACTCTCCACTCGTATGGTTTAAGAAGCTATTGTGCCAAATCAGAAATTGAGATTTTCAGTTGTAAAATTTCCATTATTTTTGAGTTTTTATTTTCATTTGGTATTTCTTGTCTTTCTGTAGATGATTAGTATTTTTTTCCTTGAGTATAGTGATAATAGCTAGTAATCTGTTAATTCCAACATGTGGGTTATCACAAATTCAGTCTCCATTGGTTGTCTTTTCTCTTGAGAATATTCTCTATGTGTGGATGTTAATTATGCAATAAACAGTGAAGTGATTACTGTCCTCTCCCATGTGCTCCAACAGAAACTATATAGAATCTAAGAAGGTTAAAGGAAAATCAAAATCCCGATTAAGAAATGAAAGGCAGCAGTAGTAATAAGAGATACATTACTCCATGCATCAATCCCCATATGGCCAGTGAAAAAGCTGACAAGAGCCAGAGACTTATACTCAAATATCATCAACTAAATTCAGTTTTGGCTCATGTAGTCTCAGCTGTTCCAGACAATCTGACAACTTTATCCGGTGCAGAGATCCATGGCATATAACATGCTGTCCTGGACATTTCCAGCACTTCTTAAAAATTTTCACTGGCACTTGAGAACCAAGACTAATTCACATTCATTTTACAAGGCCTTTGATGTATATCTGCAGGGCACCCCTAAGGATACTTAAGTCTCTCCCTTTGCTACTATTGGAGGTTCAAGACATGGCACAAAAATCTGTACTCTCTGAGCCCCATAGCTTTTACCATATAAGGGAGGCCCAGTTGGTTGACAAGTCAGAAGCCTCACTCTCAGCTCTGATTGTGGTATAATCACATTTCCACCAAAAGGAGTGCTTGATAAACTCTGACAAAATTCAGGGTCCTGTTCACCAAATACATGTTTTTTGGGAGGAAATATGTCATAATTCTTCTGTTGTCACATTGACCTTCCACTGCTAAAAACAAAAGGTTTAGCATCATATAGAATTGTTTGTGCATTAGAAATGGTATGCTCTTAGTTTGGGCGTTTTAATTGGTCCTTTATATCAGCTACCAGGAAATCAGCCTTTTTCTGGAATGTTTAAACACTATTGGTGGGAATGTAAATTAGTTCAAACACTGTGGACAGCAGTTTGAAGATTTATCAAAGAACTTAAAGGATAACTACCATTAGACCCAGCAATCCCATTACTGAGCTTATATCCAAAAGAATATAAATCATTCTACCAAAAACACACATACACTTTTACGTTCACTGCAGCACTATTTAGAATAGCAAAGAAATGTAATCAACCTAGGTACCCATCAATGGTGGATTGGATAAAGAAAATGTGGTACATATACACCACGGAATACTACACAGCCATACGAAAGAACAAAATCTTGTCCTTTGCAGCAACAAGGTTGCAGCTGCAGGCCACTATCTTAAGTGGAACAGAAAACCAAATACCACATATTCTCACTTGTAAGTGGGAGCTAAACCTTGGGTATATATGGGCATAAAGATGACAGCAATAGACACTGGGCACTACTAGAGAGTGGGTGGGGGGGCAAGGGTTTAAAAGCTATTGGATACCGTGCTCATTAGCAGCATGATAGGATCAGTCATACCCCAAAGCTCAGCATCATGCTATATACTCATGTAATAAGCTTGCATATGTACCCCCTAAATCTAAAATAAAAGTTGAAATTACAAAAAAATAAAATACATAAAGCAAATATTTTTAAAAATGTATAAAAATAAGGTTTCTGTGACATTTGAAATAGTGGCAAATAAATACATTTAGAATTATGTTTTTTGAAAAAGAAATCAGCCTTTTCCTTTTGTGCCTGGGCTGTGTTGGACGCTTACCTGCAGATTATGGCTCATGTAACTTTGGAGCCCCACAGCCTGAGGGGTTGAGCCCCTTTTTATCTACACTGATTGCTGTTTGGAGCCTCCAGAAAAAGTGAGCAACCTACTCCACAGGTATCCTTTGGGTTTTTGGACACATTGCTTTCCTGACACAGCTACCAGAAAAACCCCTGTGTAAAGCAGTTATTGCCCTGCTACTGTTTTCTCATTGAAACTGAACATTTGACCTATAAAGACCTTGTGACTTTCTGGCTGATATTCTTATTTTGAGATGGGTCAACTCCGACTAAAGACTAACAAGGTGGGAAAAGCCCAACAAATTTCACTTGTCATCCAGCAATCCCATGTTGGGTATATATCCAAAAGAAAAAATAGATCAGTATATTGATGAGACATCTCCTCGCTTATGTTTATCGCAATACTATTTACAATAGCTAAGGTATAACATCAACCAAAGTATCCATCAATGGATGAATGGATAAAGAAAATGTGGTGTGTGTGTGTGTGTGTGTGTGTGTGTGTGTGTGTGTATAGTGGAATAATATTCAGCCATAAAAATGGATGAAATTTTGTCATTTACAGCAACATGAATAGAAGTGGAAGACATCGCGTTAAGCTAAATAGGCCAGGCACAGAAGGATGATGATTGCATGCTCTCATTCTTACATAGGGGCTAAAAAATATGATCTCATGGAGGTTGACAGAAGAATGACAGTTACCAGAGGCTGGGAAAGTTGGGAAGAGGAAGATGAAGAGAGGTTGGTTAATGGGTACACACATACAGCTAGCTAGAAGAAAGAAGTTATAAGTTCTAGTGTTTGACAGCACAGTAGAATAAATATCATTAAAAATAATTCATTGTGTTTTCAACATAGCGAGAAGGGAAGATTTGAAGTGTTCACAACACAAAGAAATGATAAATGATTGAGGTGGATATCCTAAATATCCTCATTTAATCCTTACGCATTGTATGCATGCATCAAAAAATCACATGTACCCTGTACAACTATTATGTATCAATTAAATTAAATGAAAAACTTTTAAACTTCACTTGTCAAAAAATTAAAATTGCATATGGCCTGGTCCTAATACTATCTCAATTTTGATGATAGAGTACAGCTATCCCTTCAGAAAAAACTTTATGTTCCTTCCATTCCACTTCCTGAAGCCAAGCCACTGTTTCTAAGTCGACCCTGACTGACACAACTTACCCTAAAAATCTGGCCGTGTTTCACCGCTGGTTTGGCTACATTAAAACCTGATGGTGGCTGTTGTGATTCAACTATTGTTCAATCTTAGTGCCGGCTATGTAAAAATAAAAGTGGATATGGTTATTCTGGTCACTAGTAAGAACCAAAGGTCATTTTCATATCTCTGGCCAATATTGCCATAGATAAACTGTGTTATATTTTTACTCATTCTTGGACTTTTGCCAATGGCCTAGACAGCTTGTTTGCCCCTGGAAAGACTACAGACTGCTTTATTAAATATACCCTGTTTGGGACCACAAACTGTTCAGAAATTTGAGGTTACTGAATGGTCAGTCTGCATCACTCACATAGATGTCCACAGTAAAGGCCCATCCTCTGAAGGCACTCACTGGAATCAAGCTGCCTATCATGTCTGCACTGCCAAGGTCAAGACTGTTGACATCTGGAGCCATAATTACACTGTCTTATCACTTTTGACACTGATATACATCAGTCTATGCTGTTATATTTGTTTCCTATTGCTGTATAATACATTATCACACACAAAAACTATACTTATTACTCAGTTATTGGCTCAAAGTTCTATAGGTTATATGTCTGGCTTGACATGGCTGGGTTCTCAGGGCATACCAAGGTCAAAATCAAGGTATTTAACAGTCTGGGATTTTCTATAGACAGTGTGGGAGAAAATCTATTTCTAGTAATATTATTCTTTATATAAGCCTTACTTGTGGTTGTAGAATAGAATTTTCTGTTTCCTTGCTTTCTGTCAAATTGAGGCTGCTTTCAGTTACTGGCGGCCATCCACATTCCTTGACTTATGGATCCCTCCTCTCTTCAAGCCAGCAACAGTAGGTAGAATCCTCAAGCTGTAAAGCTCTGATTTCCCCTTCAGCCACCAGTTAGAGAAAACTGCTTCAAAAGGGATCAGGTGGCTAGGTAAGGCTCACTTGGATAATATCTCTATTTTAAGTTAACTGTGCCACATAACATAACCAAAAGAGGAATTCTACATAAGGGAAAGAGTGTGGAAAATCTTGAGAGTTATCTTAGAAATCTGGCTACTATGGCTGTTATTAGTCCAGTCCAATCGGCCTACTCTTGCCACGTCATTGTGGCTCCTGAATGTAATCTATGCTATGTATTCATCTTTCCAGAACATCTGCACCCTGACAATGGGGCATTTTTGTTGAAAACGCTAAGAAGCAGTGAACTGTTATTCAAAGTGTTTGACAGATATTCCATGCTTCCTTCCATACTCAAGCTTCAGGTGATTTTGCCTATTAAAATGACCTCTCCAAACATCAACCAAATTAATAGAAACAGAAAGTAGTAGAATAATGATGGCCAGGTGCTGAGTGGGGCAGGGGCTAGGGAATTATGGAGAGTTATTGTTTAGTGGGTACAGAGTTTCATTCTGAGATAATAAAAAGGTTCTAAACATGTTTAGTTCCCATAACCACACAACAATGTGAACTTATATAACATCAATGAATTTTACACACAGAACGGCGAAAATGGTAATTTTTATGTATATTTTACTGCAGTAAAAGAAAAATCAACTCAAAAACATTTCTGATTCTTTTTTATCCACCCTCTCTTGGACTATACATGCACCTTCCTAAGTCTATTTGGTTAATACATTTGGCCCTCCCCACAAAGAGATTATCCCCTCTTGGCCACCCCTTGAGTAATAATTAGTATGGAAAGGACGGTAGCTTATATGGGATAGATAATGATCTTGTGGTTGAGTACTGAAATTGAAATTATTTTTGAATTTTATGATTAAATATAGGAAAGTATGTATAAACTTACGTGAATATGCCCTGTTACATTCTACAAATTAAAAGTTGATTAGCTTTCTTGTGATCCCCAAAGTAAACATAAAAATGTATAAGCCTGAAATATTATCAATTAGAAAATATTTGGAGAAATTGCTTCTTAAAATATGGTAGAATATTTTAAGAAGCATTGTTTAATACAAGCAAACCATGAGCCTTATATGAAAATATGAAGGCATCAGAGCAGGTGATAATCATGAGTAAAATTATAAATATTTTCTCTCTAAATACACATTTGGAGAAGCACATAGGACTTGATAAAGCTCAAATGCAAGAAGTCTAATAACTGAGACTCTTAGAAATTGTATTTCCAATGAGTTATATAGGAGAGGTGACTGTGTATTCTTAAGAAGTTTAGCTTTACATATAACTTTATTTTCACTAAGACTCTTTTTCTAAAATAATCTATTGTTGGGGTGATTTATGTAATATATGTTCAATGCACATTTAAAATACTTCATAAAATTAGTTTATCACTATTAAAAAAGAATTTATGTTCTGATAACCTGAACATTTATAATTCTATAGCTATAAACTGAAGTTACCTTCATAAGTAAAATATTTAGCAAAAATTTCTACATGAATTGCATTTAAATTAAATTTATTACAAAATGTGCTATATAAAATAACATGTAGCATCTTCTCAACATAGTTGACTATAAAATTTTGATTTAGCCTTGGGAAAAACACCTGAATATAATCACATAAAGAGAAATTTTTAAAACTTATTGTATATTTTCAAGTAATTGAGAGCCTCTGAAATACTACTCAAATCTGATTTATAGAAATGATTCACTTATGATTCTGACTCAGTCCCTAATGAAGTAATATCAGCCATTGCCTTGGGTAGTAAATAACGTAAATTTTTTAGATATTAGTGCAATAATATTCACAGAGAGGATAGAAAAAATGAATACATAGAAACTTCCTGACAAATTGCAACATTTTAATGGTAAAATTAAATGTTAAAAACCACTCCCAAACAATGACATTCTTTATTCAAATAATCCTCAAGGAACAGAGGGAAGCAATTGTCATCTGCCATGGGGAAGCTGAGACTTAAAAAATTTGACAAACTCAACAGAGGCTACAGAGCTATACAGTTTTGTAACCTAAAGTATAACTCCTTCATATTACAGTGTTATTTCCAACATACCATGTGGTCATATACCATAATATTTTTAATGGACTTTCAGGTCGAACAGAAAATGATTCATGGTTAGAAGCATACTTGGAGAAATAAAGTTAAGCAGCAGCCTAACCTCAGTTCAAGATATTTTGGAGACCGATAACTAGCCATTAGCAAATGATGATGCTTTCTCATCATCACTCTTATCTCTTTATGTCACTCCTGTCTCACACAATCCTCAGGGCAATTTTTTTCCCACACAAATCAAAAATGAGAAAAAATCTATTTAAACATTAGATTAGACAATATTTTTCCTGTAATAAAGAAACAGATTGTTCAATCTCCTTGGCATTTGAAATTAAAGGATAATTTTTTATTTAATTCTAAAGGAGAAAACAAGACTATTCAAGTAATGCAGCACATTGCAGGGCATGATTTTTCAGAAGATAAATGATTGATACGGCAATTAATTAAAAACAATATAATGGACAGATTTAAAAGCTTGTCTTCCAGTTCCAAAACGATGATAATATAATGTTATTACTGTGCTTGAACATTTACAACTGTCCACACAAAAAGTGATTAAAAACAAATTGTAACGTCCTGTACTCTTCTCCATTCTTAGTCAAGAAGACGGTCTTCCAAGTTAGATCACAACCTCCTTAAATCTCTTTATCCTTACACTGTATGCTATGCAGAATAATGCTCCTTCCCTAAAAATGTCTACCCTATAATTCTTGGAATCTATGAATATGTTTTCTTTCATGGTAAATGGAACACTAATACACAATGTATTTAAACATTTCAAAATATATATTAATTTAAAACTGCAATATAAATACCTATTATAATTAGCATGATTATAAAAATATTTCGAAAAGAGTAGTAAAAAGAGTGGTGCTAGCTTATGTTTTTGCAAATCATTTAATATCTGGCTTAATACAAGACAGCTGGATTTTCTTATCCACTTACATTCATCCTATTGTGATATATAGTTTTGGTTGGCATACATGAAGAAAATTCACCTTCCATGCTCATTTAGTTGGAACTAGCAGTGCACTTGAACAGCATACTAGATAAGCAGCAGATACAAAGATAGAATTAATAGCACAAGTTATATATTGGAGGAGACCTCTTTGAAAGATGTACCAGAAAGAGTATGAGATTAGTCAGAGAGAGCTTTCAGACTGTTCCTGGTCTGACACTGAATAAGGGAGAAGAAAGTAAGAAATATCTGGAAGGAAAAGCCCGAGACATCAGTGTAACTTTTAGAAAATTTTGGCGAAACTGATGAGGGGCAACAGGAAACTGAGACCATTTGAGGAATCCCACCTTAAACAGAAGTGGCCCAGTTTTACTGCCCTCGCTTGATAGTCCTCAGCTGGGAGCATCTGACAGCGAGCGTGGCCTAAGCCTGATTGCTGCAGGGATCTCAGTGGGACTGCATCTGAATGCTCCTTAGCTAAGTATATTCGTCACTGCAGGGTTTTTGTTTTGCTTTTTGTTTCCCTGAAGATGGATTGGAGTGTTGCACCTCTGTGGCTATCCCACTATCCTTTTTGGATGATTGTGGATATTTATCTTTAATACTATGCCAAAACTCAGCATATGGTCATTTTTTTAAGGTTGGTTATGATTTGGTATCTAAAACCCTATTAAAATATTCTTTACTCTGCTATATTAAGATCCATGGGTCTGTCTTGCATTTTGAATGGAACTTTTCCTTACCCATCACATGAAAAGCATAGGCAACCACTGGGCTATCTTAGGCTCAGCAGAAAATCCTTAATGATGTAGTTTTACTCTCATATTCTGAACAGAAACTAAGTGATATCTGGAACTTTTACTAAAAGCTTGCAGATTTATGTAGACTAGGCATGCAGCCCACTGGCCCAAGTATTTTCTCATTCACTAGTTAGGTACATGGTTCTAGCATATTATCTATTCCTCCAAATGTAGGAATCAATTATTAGACATACACAGAACACAGATCAGAGAAGTGTGATACTATCTCACCTGATCTCCGTAATGTTACATTTTCCCTCAGAATCAGAAAGGAAAACCCTTGACAATTTTCTTTCCTGTATTTTAGAGCTCCCTTAATGCCAGACCCAATTTTACTTCTATTTTGTAAGTTATGTTAAAATTCTCTAATTCCTGGGTTGGCCAATTTTCTCTCATGACGGTAAAGTATTTGCAATTGTAAACTTTTTTTTTCCCCCGTCTAGGCAAAGCCTGACTTTAGTAGCCATTGTATTCTGTAGGCTCAGAAATTTTATTTTTCATATATAAAATTTAAAATTCTTCTCTCTTCCTTTTAATTCATTTAAGATATGGGCCTCCCTATAACAAATAATTGTCTCTTTTATATAACAAACAGGTTATATAAAAGTAAACCAAAATAGATAAGCACAATCGCATATTTACAAATAATAGAATCTGTGGGTTCTATTCTTTGGACCACACAGGTCAATGTCATGCCAGAGCACAGCAGAAGACTGGGAACTCTTGCCTTGTTCTTTAGCTGTTTATTCTTACTAAATGAATAGAGGCTTTCCACTTTTACCTTCGGATAATCGTTTCCACATTATCCCTTAATGTATCCTGATCATTTCTGGTTCAAAGTTTTCAAAAGTACCCAATTTCTGATTTTTCATTATTACTTATGCTCTTCCTCTATGTTAACTTTTCTTTCCCCACTCAAATTGTAATACAGGTTTCTTTATAGTTTACCCATTTAGTGAGGTAGGGGTATGGAGTGATTTTTTCAGAATATTCTGTTGATAATTATTTAAGACATATATATTTCAAGTTCTCTTCTGTATCATATTCCTTTTACTTTTAGGAATGAATACCAAGGCTCTTATGTTTAAATATCAAAAGAGTGGTAAAACGTTAAAAAACAGCTCATTTAAATTTATTCTATGGTTATAGTCTCAAAAAGATAAAGCATAGTCCATGTCTATTTTTGATTCAAAAGGGAAATAGTTCAATCCTTCAAAAAGTGTTTACATATAGTTTGAAGGAAAGTCCACTATGTGTGGTGCCAATTTTCTTTTTAAAACACAGATATTTTTATGTCATCATTTTATAGTAAAATCTAGTGTGCTTTAGAACTACAACTCAGCTATATATCTATGCTGCACACTTGATTTCTAGAATTTCACCAAAAATAAGAGTGGTTGAAACTATTGATTTTTTCATTGGCTTTTGATTCTGTGGGCAAAAGCTAGTTACTATCTAATCTATACTAATTTAATAAAACTGCTAACTAATAAAGCATGTCTCAGCCTGAATTTTAACACTACTTAGAGTTTCTGGGATGGTAAAACCACTGGTCTTCAGCTCTGATCGTGAAAAACCACATGGGAATCTTTGTGGGGAAAGAAAGACATGCCAACCTCCCTCTAATCTATTCACTTCTGTCCCTCTTATTTGAAATCACTTTGATTCCATAGGTATGTAAGTTCTTACAGTAATGAATTTTAAGTTATTGCAAAATAAAATGAATAGCTAACTGCAATATTGAAGAAGGGATTATAGTGGTGTATTCTACGATAATATAAAACAAAATTATCCTTAAAAATACACTCCAAAATGTGATTCAAATATAATCTCCTGAAATAGTAAGATGTTTTGTTGTGTGCTTTAGTCACTATGGTTTTCATTTTTGGCAAGAACACCTTAGAATCAATAGAATTAACTGAGAAATTCTTCTTTTGAACTTCACATTGAAAGAGTACACCATTGAGAGTCTTCTCTAGTAAAGCTATTATAGAACACTAATAATAAATACAATGAAAAAGTCCAAACTAAAATTTTCTTGGCTCTAGGATATCACGTAGATTTAGGTAAGTATAATTTCTGTTTTGATTTTTGTTGTTGCAAATCATGGCATTTTCTTGGAAAAAACTCTGGCTTTATTCACATTTATGTGGAGATAAGGTTTTACTTCTAGAGTTCATTTATATGGAGATAATGAGGTTCATAACATCAACAGGGTTCCTCATTAGATGACTTAAATATAAGGAACAACATTCATATGCATTCACATACATACAACCTTGCCTTATAATTTTTCTAAAGTACATGTATCTATAATTACTGAATAACAAAGAATTTCAGGACTGTAAGCTCTTATTAGTGATTCAGTTTTAAACTGTCTGCTAAACAACTGTTGTCTGAAACCTCCTGAGAAATTATATGTGACATGATTTAGATATATAACCTATCCAGAAGAGAGCTATGGTCTTGAACTATATATATACACACATGTATATATGTGTATATATATAATATACATGTGTGTGTATATATATATATAATATACATGTGTATATGTATATAATATACATGTGTATATATATAGTTCAAGACTATAGCTCTCTATGTTTCTGTGTATATATGTATATATACATATATTATATATATCTTCATATATTAACTGAATTTCTCTCAGAAATTATATGTATTAAGTTGGATTTAAACATTATTACTTTAACATTTATCAAAAGATACTTAGGAAATTCCATTCCGTGTAATACTAGTTATGTTTTTTTTTTTTTTTTTTTTAAGATGGAGTTTTGCTCTTGTTGCCCAGGCTGGCGTGCAATGGCGCGATCTCAGCTCACTGCAAACTCTGCCTCCTGGGTTTAGGCGATTCACCTGTCTCAGCCTTCTGAGTAGCTGGGATTACAGGCATGCGCCACCACGGCGCGGCTAAATTTTGTATTTTTAGTAGAGATGGGGTTTCTCCATATTGGTCAGGCTGGTCTAAACTCCCGACCTCAGGTGATCTGCCCACCTCGGCCTCCCAAAGTGCTGGGATTACAGGCATGAGTCACCGTGCCTGGACAGTTATGTGTTTTTAGAAGAAATGTTCTTGGCATTTTTAAATACTATTTTCCTAATCGCAACATCAAAAATTAATCCTATAAATTAGCAAAAAAAGTGCCAACAAATAAAAACAGAAACATAAAACAATCTTTGCTAATTGCAAGTTGATATGTGTTCTGAGAATTATATGATAATAACAATGCCAAACAGGTAATAGATAGTAATTGTATACAAGACCATACATTTATATGCTTTAAAATTCTTACAAAAATTCTTACATGAGAAAACTAAATTTTAAAAAGGAAAAATGTAAAAAAATCTGTGCTGTTTGTACTTTTATTACTAGAAAGACCTGAGTTATATTTAAGCTGAATAGTGGCAATCATTGACACTTTATTTGCATATTGAGTAACAAACACATTGTTTTAATTTTGTGATGTGTGTTGTTCTGAGGTCTGCATATATATTAACTCTTTAACCTCACCACAAACTATGGGGCTATAGAACTGGGGAAATAGCTGCCTAATTTGCTGAAAGTCATATAGCTATCCAGTTTTAGACGTAAGCTTCAAACCCAAGTCATTGGTTGAGTCCTTACTCTTAAATCATTAGCTATAGTTCCTTTGTTATTTGTGGGTTTTTATTTTTACATTTTCCTCATATTGTATTTTATTTGTTTTCCCATGTCAAATTCTTCATTTGTTTATTATTTACATTGTCCTATATATTTTGTCTTTGCAGTCTACTTTACACCTGAATTGAATTGTAAATATGTTAAATGTAGATGGACAATCAATGGAAACAGAAAAATATATCGGTGGAAAAAGTTAAATCTGTAAATATTCATCATAAAATGCATTGTTTTTAAACCCACTCAGTACTCTAAATATTTCTAGTTCATATATATATGTTTCATATCTACTTAGAAGATATGAACTTTTCATTGTTTGTATTAGTCAGGGTTCTCTATAGGGACAGGACTAATAGGATAGATGTATATATGACAGGAAGTTTATTAAGGAGAATTGACTCACACCATCACAATACAAAGTCTCACCATAGGCCATCTGCAAGCAAGCCAGTGGTAGATCATTCCAAGTCCTAAAACTTCAGAAGTAGGGGAGCCGACAGCACAGCCTTTAGTCTGTGGCTAAAAGCCCAAGAGCCCCTGACAAATGACTCTTCTAAGAGTCCAAAAGCTGAAGAGCCTGAAGTCTGATGTTCAAGGGCAGAAAGCATCCAGCATGAGAGAAAGATGAAGGCTGGGAAACTTGGCCAGTCTAGTCTTTCCATTTTTTTCTGCCTGCTTTATCCTAGCCATGCTGGCAGCTGATTAGATAGTTCCCGCCCAGATTGAGGGTGTGTCTGCCTCTCCCAGTCCACTGACTCAAATGTTAATCTCCTTTGGCACCACCCTCTTAGACACACTCAGGAACAATACTTTGCATGTTTTAATCCAATCAAGTTGACACTCAGTATTAACCATCACAACATTAGAGGGCAAATGTTTTTGTAATTGTGCTTTTCGTAGTACAGAGATGGCTCAGCATGCTCATCTAATAACTGGGAAATTGACAAATTTGGCTTATGTATTCAATGCCACTCTAACTAGGAAGTTAAAGACTGTAATTCTTAAGTAAACCATTCTGCCAACCAGCATAGCTTTTGCCACAACATTAATAAGATATTAGCTGGTTGATGTGAAATTTGGTAATGCACAGATGATATCCAAATTTGTCACTTTTTTATATTACTGCATTGATTACAGATGTGAAACGTGGAAGTCTGGAGAGGACAAAGGAAGGACTTTTCTCTTCCAAAGGACTTTAAAAAGCTGAAAAAAAAAAAACAAAAAAAAACAACCAGCATTGAAATCTGTCTAAAATGCAGTCATTTATAAAATTAGAAGACTTATGCTGGCAGATGTTAGGAGAGTTGAAAATAGTAGGTAATTATAGAAGGAGTAATTTTCTCTTCAAAAGTTAGCCAACCCTTTGCTTGGGTAGCAATTGAGATTGCAGACCCTGGGATAGGTTTAATTCTCCACTGAACACTAGATAATTTGAATAAAGACAGCTCACTAACCATTATTCATCTATGTCCACACAACCCAAATTTCTTAAATATAAAATCTATCTACCTTCAAACAATATTGACCACCCAGAGAAAATGTCTTTGATAATTAATGGTTGATATCATAGAAACACAAGAACTTGGACCTTTAAAAGTACTCCATTGTTAATATGTAATTGATGCTGTTAAAACTAACATGTACACCTTTAATTCTTATACTGTAAAGTAAGAAAATATAGCCCAGGTTATACCACTATAGAGAAACGGAGGAGGATGACTGATTGTTCTCTGAATTCAATTCTTCATACGTTATTGTTCTACCACAGAATGTAACTTTTTAAATCTCTCAAATTTGATATTTACAGAGGTAACTTTGAAAGATCACATCAAAATTGCTGACCCCCACACTTAAAACATCATTCTTCTAACTCAAGATGTCCAGGAAGTCCAAAATAACATGATTCTAATAGAAGGAAAATAAACATATACATATCTTGCACAGAATTTGATTAATTGCTAAATATTTCATTTAAAAATTCATTATAGATAGGACATGTACAGATCTGCTTGAGTCCCAGATCTGTATATGAAAATGTATGATTATAATTGAGTAATTTTAATTATTTTAAAATTTTTCTGTGCTATAGTCTGAATGTTTATGTCTTCCCAAAATTCATATGTTGATATCCCAATCCTCAACATTGGTATTAGGAGATGGGGCTTTTGGAAGGTAGTTAGATCATGAAGATGAAGCCTTTGTGAAAGGGATTAGTTCTTTTATAAAAGGGGCTGAGTTAGACTTGTGTTTTCCTGTGGACCTTGTATTAATGATATTTTATTTAAATTATGACAGCTACAATGCCACATGAGCAATGTGGTCAATCATACTCTGCTACATTAGGATGAAAAATTCATAGGAATAAAAATTGTGGTACTAAAATTATGTTTGTATTATTATTAAACATTGGCCATATTTTGAGTTGACTAACAGCTGTTTATGTGGATATATGGCTATTAGTCCTGATTTTCGTTCCCCCAGAATGGACTACTCCCTTATCAGTGCTTGTACAATGTCCTTTACTTATTTTAGAGAATTTTTGCATTTTATTTATCTTCTACATGTTATGTCTTCCCAATGTAGGCAATAAAAGCTCTTAGAGACCATGAATAAATAATCTCAC